>NC_000004.12:87103199-87254714 GCF_000001405.40 Homo sapiens
TTCTCCTCCAATAATAGCATGCTAGTTTACGTTGAGATACCCACCTCTGGTGATACAGTAAATCAGGCTTTCTGGAATAGTTTGTGGTTACTCTTGGCTGTGCCAGCAGACACTAGTAATACACATATCTGCTGATTCTCATGTGAGATATGTTTATTCTTTATCAAATAAATTATACTCACAAATTTTTATTAAGTAAAATACTTTATGTATAAATCCCAATACATCCCAAATGAGGGAGGAGAGGTTTTGTTTGACCATACTGGTTTATCATTTCTGAGTGTTTCTTTGGAGACAGCTTTTGCAATCTTCCTTCAGAGATCACAGTCCGTACTCTTTAGGTTTGGAATAGGTTTTGTATCTGTAGGCTTATTTTGTTACTATCTATGTAATTCTCTGCAGGGAAAATTTTTAGAATCTGGGACAGCATTTTCATGGTGCCTGTTTATCCTGAAGAGGAAGTGGAGCCAAAAGTCAGAACTTTCTCTAACTTTCTGACTTACTTTAGGAGAGTATATTCTTGGAAGTTAGATGTTTGGTAGCTAGAAGAGAAAGTTACAGAATTTTTAATCCTGTGCTCAAAACAGGAAATGTGGTTGGATTACATGATCATTGATGTTACAGGAATTAAGGCAAATCAGTTTTATTCAAAACAAACCTAGTAACTAAGAAAGAGGTCAGTTTTTTGTTTTGTTGTGGTTGGTGACTAATGCTGAATACACTTTGCCAGATTTTTTTCTGGTTGTATTATACTTTACATTTATTTCAAAGATACATCTTTTATCTTTTGTTTGTGTATAACTCAGCCCAGCCACCATTTAGCAATAAACCTGTTGAGTGACTTTTTTTGTATACCATTACGTTGCTAACTGACAAGTCCTATGACTGAAGGCTATATTTTCTAGCCTTGAAAAAATATGAATTTAGCTGTGCAGGGTGGCTCACGCCTGTAACCCCAGCAGTTTAGGAGGCTGAGGTGGGCAGACCACTTGAACCCGGAGCTCTAGACCAGCCTAGGCAGCATAGTAAGACCTCATCTCTACAAAAACACAAAAATTAGCCGGGCATGGTGGCCTGTGCCTGTAGTCCCAACTATTCGGGAGGCTGAGGCAAGAGGATTGCCTGAGCCCAGGAGGCAGAGGTTGCAGTAAGCCAAGATCACACCTGGGTAACAGAGTGAGACCCTGTCTCAAAAAGAAATAAAAATATGAATTTAGCTTCTGTTAGATAAATATTGAGCAAGATCTACATTTACAAGTTGCTAACAGTTTTCATTTTATTTAGAAACTTATCCCAGTATGTTTTTAGTACATTTATGAAAGTTGTTTCTTGGCAGAATTACCACCTCATGTAGGCGGTCATTTACGAAACAGCCAAGTTTCGTTCATTTTCATTAGAAAACATAGTGATTTTTACCAGGATTTCCAAAGACACCATGCCTGCTTTCTTCAGTGGTAGATATGGCTTTGCAGTAAAAATTGTTGATCAGATTTTTGAATAGGTGTTTTTGGAAATACTGAAGGATTTTAACCTCAAATAATTTGCCGGTGGAGTTTTTAAAATTTGACAACACATGTACAGATTGACAAATGTTTGCTTTTTACTATTTAGGTTCACCATAAGCCAGAATGCCTACAGATACATTAATCCAAGTTTGAGGAAATTTTTTTTTTTTTCCTCACTGAAACAATAGCAATAAGGTTAAACATAATGTGTAGACAATCGAGTTTGTATTACTGTTCTTCCCATTGATCAGTGTTCACATAGGCAAAAGAGAATAATTTATTGTCAAAAATAAAGCTCACTATTAATAATGTCCTTTAGACAGAAATGTAAAGTAACTGCACTGTTGGGTGATGTTTGCCTTGATAGCATCATACATCTTACTGTGTATTTAATTCTAATGTTGAACTTTTTATGTGCCTGGCACTGTTCTGAGTGCTTTACAAATATTCATTCATTCAACTTTAATTCATTTAATGGCTAACTACTTTAGTTCAGTTAGAGCTTATGGAAGAAAGTAATTGAGTATATTATGTATCCCTCCCCATTTGTTTTGTTTGCATGGACCCTGACTTCACTGATTAGGAGTGAAGGACTTTAGTCTCAGGGCTCGCAACGAATCCTTGTCTTGTGGTAGTTCTGCTTCAGTGTTGTAGCATGTGAAAGAGTCTGTTTTGAGATGGTAAGAGGCTTGCACTTAACTGGTTTCTGTGTTATAATTGTATAATTATAATTGTATTCGTACATTGTAATTGTATAATTGTAAAACTTAACATTTTCAGGAAGTCACAGCCTTTAATAAATAAAGAAAACTTACACATATCCTCTCTCTTTGTTTAATTAGGCATATTTTCTATTTACATGCTAGAAAAGTTGTTAGAAATCATTTCACATTCATTCTTCTCTGTGTCCCTGCCCATTCCAGCATGCTCGAAGACGACCTTCAGCTCAGTGACAGTGAGGACAGTGACAGTGAACAAGTAAGTGTTGCACAGCCTGTAATACCAGGAGTCCTTTTAAATACATCTAACAGATCTGAGCTGCTTGTTCTAACCTGTTTTTTGTTCTTTTCCTGGTCTTTCTTCCCCTTATTGTGAATGCCTAGACCCCAGAGAAGCCTCCCTCCTCATCTGCACCTCCAAGGTACCGTGTGGGTTTCTCCCCATCTGTACAGAATGTTTGCAATTTTTTACCAAATGGGAAAAATAAAGCCTTATTTAGTACTTTCACATTTTTTGTCATGGGAAGGAGCTGAAGGATCACAGTAAAAGGAAAGTACCTGTTTAATATTTTGGAAGCTTAAATCAGCCATAGGGAGGTTGTTAACCCTATAGAAGCGAGAGCCCCACACTCATCTACATCATCAGTATAGATGTTAAAGATTTTTAAGAGTTTACAGGCTGGGCGTGCTAGCTCACGCCTGTAATCCCAGCACTTTGGGAGGCTGAGGTGGGCAGATCACTTGAGGTCAGGAGTTCGAGACCAGCCTGGCCAACATGGTGAAACCCTGTCTCTACTAAAAATACAAAAATTAGCCAGGCATGGTGGCGCATGCCTGTAGTCCCAGCTACTCGGCAGGCTGAGCCAGGAGAATCGCTTGAACCCAGGAGATGGAGGCTGCAGTGAGCTGAAATCGTGCCACTGCACTCCAGCTTGGGTGACAGAGCGAGACTCTGTCTCAAAAAAGGAGTTTACAAACAAGCTTAAAATACAATTTATCATCAGTATTAGGTAATCAATATTTGAAAAGTTAAACTGACGAGCCCAGTGTTTTAATGGAGGTAACAGATTTGCTGTTTTCAATAAAGCTCAGTTATTTCCAGAACTTCTTTTCCATTATGCCTGTTTTCTTAGTTACATGAATTTTCATATTGTTTCAGCTGCTTTTCAAAATGACCAGCAGTACATTTTAGTGTGATGGGAAATGGAATAAGCCAGCCATACTTTAGGAAATGTGATGATTTAATTTTTGAAAATATGAACTATTTGAACTTCTTTTATAATACTTTCCTCTGGTAATATGCCAGGTACCTGCCTTTCATGGACAAAGTTATTTTACTCACTTGAGATGTGCTCATCCACTCAGAGACGACATTAGCAATAAAATCTTGTCCATTATGCAGGGGATGTTACAGTTAATGTGGAGGAAGCCCATGTGATTATGTGCACTCTTACAGATTCATAAGGTTTGCTTGTTCAATTATATCTTATTTTGTTCAGTAATTTCTGGTGGGTTATGATGACTCATAAAACATGACAAGGTAGCCTAACTTCTAAAAGTGGAGGAAAAGGAAAAAGAAGAGACCAAGCGGGGGTACAAATTTGAGGCAGGAGTAACATTGAGAGTGTATCCCCTTTTGCTCATCACTGGCTTACGCTCTTCAGCTGCCATGGAGACAGGGCCACCAACTGGGTGCAGCATTTCTGTGAGGAAATTATATAGTGGTATCGTGTGTGTTTTAAAGTTACCTCAACTAGTGATTTTGTTATTGTTTAATAATTTTTATTCTAATATGTGTTATTTATGAATCTATTTTGAAAATATTTTAGGTAGATTTGAAATCTGTCCAGATTATAGTTAATGACTTATTGCTTTAATTAATACCATCTAGGGTGAAGCTTTAAGATTATATATGCTTTGAAATTATATATGTGTCTAGCAGTGTGATCAATGTGTTTTCTTACTAACTTAGATTTATTGCCCCATTCTTAAAATTTGGAGTAGATAATCTCTACTTTGTCTGACATTTGGGGATGATCCCTAAGCCACTTACGAAGAATGGTCCGTTTTGTAGTTCTTCCAGGAAGTGTGAGTGGTTGGTTACTTTTGAGTTCACCTTGCAAAGGAACACCATTTATATTTAGTGGTCTTTGGCTACCACCCAGTTCTTGTTTAGAGAATATAGGGAGATTTTAACTTACTGGCTTTTCTTACAGAAATTAATTTGATTTGGTTATGTGTAACAGAGACCAGCAAACTTAAAAGGATCAGATAGTAAATATTTTAGGCTTTGTGGGCCATATATGTCTCTATTGCAGCTGTTCAAATCTGCCATTGCAGCATAAAAGCAAACATAGTACATTAAAAAAATGGGTATGGGTGTCTTCCAATAAGACTTTATTTAGAAAAGCAGGCAGCCAGCCTAGGCAATGGTTTACCAACCCTTGATATGAAGCACCCAGCATCTAACTTAAATTTTGGATCACTTGACATATTCTTCAGGAGTAAAATTTCACAGGCTTCTCTTTTATGCATTTATCTGGCAATCAGTTTTCAGAGGTTTTTGCTTTTCTATTAAACTACTTTGGGCCTCTCTCAGTTGGATGACATGATAGTTTAGCAGTGTATCTAATACCAAGGCCCGCCCTTTTGAGTAGCAGGAAAATGGGCAAGGGAGAAAGAAGAAATCCACCTTGTATCGTGCCTTCTAATTTTATCTTTTGGTTGCTTTGCAGTGCTCCACAGTCCCTTCCAGAACCAGTGGCATCAGCACATTCCAGCAGTGCAGAGTCAGAAAGCACCAGTGACTCAGACAGTTCCTCAGACTCAGAGAGCGAGAGCAGTTCAAGTGACAGCGAAGAAAATGAGCCCCTAGAAACCCCAGCTCCGGAGGTACCGTGTTCCCCCTCGAGATGGCCACCTTAGATGGCAGCATTCTGTCCTTTGAAGTTAGAGTCAGTGCTGTGGGCCAGGACTGACCATGAGACTGAGTCATTCTGTCCCATGGGGCAATGCTTTCCTGCTCCTATGCTGTCTAGAGCCATCTGTTTCTATTTATTTGCTTCTTACCAAATATTTAATAAAGGAGAGTTGGGAGAGAGGTCTTCTCTCCCCTGTTGAAAATGATAGGTCTTCTCTGTCATTGCTAGTGGTGTTTTGAAGATCAACTCATTAAGACTGTTTGCACACCATTTTCTTTTCCCTTCTTTTAGAAAGAAAACTTGGTTTCAGTAGGCTGCTATTTTAATATTAATGAGAATTCTTCGTGAAATTTTAGAAATGCATGAATTAAAGCAAAAGGAGACTGCCTGATTTAGCAAAGGGCAGGAATGTGAACTAGAAATAAGTCATCAGGAGTTCTATTTTCGAATCACTAAAAGCCATGCATTAAATTGATGGCAAAGTGATTTTGTCAGGGTTCTGTTTCTTGCTCCTTTCTGTCCCATGTAAAACAGGGACGATGGTGTTTGCTTGTCACCCACCCTCAGGAGAATATTGTAAAGACAAACTGATAAGACTGAAAATCTTAGGCACTAAATAAATCTAGAGGATTTATGCTATTTACTGGATTGTTGAGCACAAGAAATTGTTAGTAACATCTAACAGGGTTGCCAAATAACCTCAAAATTTGGGTAGCATTGTAAAAGTTATGGTGGGGAAAGAAATTAATGAAAAGGGAAGGCATGCTTTTCTTTTTGGTGAATGAAACCAGCCCACATCGAGAAAATTATTCCATGTATTTAATAAGGGAATGCCAGGAAATGAAGCTTTCTAATTAGGAAAGCATTAAAAAGCCTTCTGTATTTGTCTCTGTTTAGAAAGCAAAGCAGTTCCAATGGGGCATTAACTGAATACATCTGGAGCTAATGTAGGGAGACTTAAGGGTCTTGTCTGAGGGTGAGGGAGGCTGAGAAAATAACTGGCTGTCATTTTCTGTTAGATGCGAATCTATGTCTGGCGCAGAAAATAAGAGCTTGATATGTTTTGGAGTGGACAGACATGCATCAGTATTAACTGCACTTGAAGTGCCTTTCAGATTTTAGAAACTACACTGTGTTTCTGGGGCTCTTTGTTTCCTTATATGATACTAATTGCTATTGAAATAATTTTTCTATGCCTCAGGGAAAAGGATACTGAATATGCTGTGCAGACAAATTGTGTTTATAAGATCTTTGCTTTATGTTTCACCTTATTCTTAAGAAAAATCTTCATGCTAGTTAGATTACTGACATCGAAAAGATAATTAACATTTAATTCAAATAAAATGGAAATGTTACAGATTTGGCTGAATAATTGAAACTTGATAGTCTGGCGTTTGTAGTAATGAGACATAGATATATTTTATTGCTTGAGAAGTTACTGGAATAGAGTGAAACCTCTGTAAAATAAATGGTCCCATCCTGCCTTATCTTTTAAAATCACTTTAATAAAAAAGGCTAGTATTGTTATGTATTGCAGATCCAGGCTTGGGGACAGTATGTGTTATATACTGAGGCTTATCCTCCTGGGAATATTTTATCTTTGTTTAGATTTTAAGTTTTGAATTTTTCCTAAAGTATTTAACTACATCTCTTTCCTTTTACAATAAATACCTGCATTATTATAAATTTCTGGTGTTGTTTCAGAGTAACAGAAATTCCATAATAAGCTGTACATACAGATATTAATGAGAATTCTTTTTCATTAATATTGCATAATCAGTACTGTAAATTATGGAATTTTCACTCTTAACTTTCTCACTCCTTTTTTTTATTTTTTTTTAACTTTCTCTTTTCTTTGTCTTAATTTTTGTGGGTATGTAATAGTTGTATATATGAGTGCGTGACATATTTTGATACAGCCATATAATGCATAATAATCACATCAGAGTAAGTGGGGTACCCATCACCTCAAGCATTTATTCTTTGTATTACAAACAATTCAGTTATACTTTTTCAGTTATTTTAAAATGTAAATTAAAGTATTATTGACTACAGTCACCCTGTTGTGCTGGCAAATACTAGATCTTGTTCTGGTTTTTTTGTTTTGTTTTGTTTTGTTTTGTTTTGTTTTGTTTTGTTTTGTTGGTACCGATTAACCATCCCCCCACCCCCTACTACCCTTCCAATCCTCTGGTAACCATCCTTCTACTCTCTATCTCCATGAGTTCAATTGTTTGAATTTTTTAGCTCCCACAAATTAGTGTGTATCTTCCATTTTTTTAATGCTCTTTTTAAAAAAAAATTTTGCACTCATATTCCCCATAGCTATGTAGTGTTACTAAAAGAGTAAATCTATATTGTGCATAATAATAAGCTCAAAACTTCTTAATTCAAAATCATAATTCATTCTCAAATATACTAACTTTTGCCAATTTATTAAAACACCTAATAAAAAATAATTATATCCTTTTTTTCCTATTTCCAATTTGCAGTATTTGGATTGCACCAGCACTGGGAGGGCAGATTGGGGGTGGGATGAGGAGACGCAGAGGAAGAAATGAAAGTCCAAACTTTGATCCTCTAAACAAAGATAAAATATTCCCAGGATATTTGAAAGTCTTAAAACCTTGGCACTTTTATCTACTTAAACTTTATTTTTTTTTTTTTATTTTTTTTTTTTTGAGACGGAGTCTCGCTCTGTCGCCCAGGCTGGAGTGCAGTGGCGCGATCTCGGCTCACTGCAAGCTCCGCCTCCCGGGTTCACGCCATTCTCCTGCCTCAGCCTCCCGAGTAGCTGGGACTACAGGCGCCCGCTACCACGCCCGGCTAATTTTTTGTATTTTTTTTTTTTTTTAGTAGAGACGGGGTTTCACCGTGTTAGCCAGGATGGTCTCGATCTCCTGACCTCGTGATCCGCCCGCCTCGGCCTCCCAAAGTGCTGGGATTACAGGCGTGAGCCACCGCGCCCGGCCTTACTTAAACTTTATTTTTAAAAATATTTTATTTTCATTTTTATTTATTTTTATTGAGATGGAGTCTCACTCTGTCACCCAGACTGGAGTGCAGTGGTGTGATCTCGGCTCACTGCAACCTCTGCCTCCCGGGTTCAAGTGATTCTCCTGCCTCAGCCTCCTGAGTAGCTGGGACTACAGGTACGTGCCACTAAGTCTGGCTAATTTTTGTATTTTTAGTAGAGACGGGGTTTCACCATGTTGGCCAGGCTGGTCTTGAACTCCTGACCTCAAGTGATCCACCCACCTCGGCCTCCCAAAGTGCTGGGATTACAGGTGTGAGCCACTGCGCCCAGCCTAAAAAATATTTTTAATCAATCCCTTATGAAAACATTTTTTCCATCACAACACCCAAATAATGTATCAAATTATATCCATTTCACAACTTAATATTGGGTATACAGGATTGCCCCTACCTGTTCCCCTTGTCTGGCACAACTACTCAATTTTACCCTCAAATTGGGACATAGGCCTTCCTTTGGAACATTTTTAGGACTGTAGTGGAAGAATATATTTTATTTCTGTAATCAGGACGTTCCTTTAGGGACTACTAAATGCATCTCAGTACTGTCCTGTTTTGAGGGTTGGGGGGGAAACCAGATGTTATTTATACTGGGAATGACTTCCCTTTTGGGTTCACACATAAATAGTCTTCTAAAGAGCATGTCAGGGATTGGGGTGCAGTTGTAGATATAGCCAGTGGGTAAGATATGTCCATACCTTTCCTGAGGAAGGGTGTGAAGGCTTTGTGCCTGATGTGATTGGCAAGTGATGTATCTCACTACCTTGTCCCATCAGTTAACCACTTATGTAACCACACCCTGAAGTCTCCAGGAAATCATGTTTGACAAGTGGGTATTGTGTGCTAATCTTTTCTCTACTCTTAACCATTCTGCGTTCTTAGAATATTGAATACGGATTTAGATTACATGTGACAAAATGCCTGCCACATAATAGTGGTTTCCTTCTTCCCTCCCTCTCTGCCCTTAAATTCAGATGACAGCATGAGTATACAGTTGACATAAGCGAAGGAAGCCGTAAGGAAGATAATGTTATCATAAGCAGCAGTATGGGGTAAACAGAAAGAAAAAAGGAATTATGTAGTCATCTTACTGTCCAAAGAATGTTCTTGCCTGGTTTTTTAAGTTTCTTAGTTCTGTTCTGTTAGTCACACTAAACCCAAACTATCTACCTGATCCTTTTATTACCTAACCTTTTCCTGGCCAAAAAGCCTTTATGTCATAGCCACATATTTTGCATCATGGATTTCCATGTTTTATGGAGTTGAATTATTTGGGATGTTCCACTCGGGAAAATTGTCAGCAGTCTTTCTTCCCCTTAAAACCTTTCCATCTACCGGAGTGTTCTCCTTATCTATAATCTAAGCAAATAAATCTGAAGTGGGATGTCTTTCAACTAATTTTCTGATGCATTATGTGTATGACTTATTTCTACAAACCACCTCCCCGAGTGGATCTTTAAATAAATTAGTATTTTTCTTAAGATAAGGACATAAGGACAGCGATGTATAGTCTTTAAAATAAATGTAACTATCACTCACTCTGTTAGACACTAATATTTTTCTATATGATATGAAATTCATGGGTATAGTAATCCACCTAGCAGAATACTCATATATCTCATGCACCCACTATATGCAAGATAGAGTAGTGGAACTTGGAGACACAAGAGTCTCCGTCATTCTTTTAATAAGGTCTAACAGCCGAGCTGGAGAGACGTGGTGGGATGCAACAGCAGTTAATTTATCAACAAAGGTTGAACTAATAGTTAAGGTAACGAGCCAGGAACCTATGTTTTTATGCCACGCAATTGTACATTCTCATTGCCCCTGACGGTATGCCTCCCTTTGTATCTTAGAAACATAGGTGCTGTTTCAGACCAGGTTGCTTATAATGAGAGATTTGATGTATGACCTTTTTTTTTTGAGACCAATGTGTCACTCTGTCACCTAAGCTGGAGTGCACATGGCTCACCGCAGCCTCAAACTCCTGGGCTCAACAATCCCCACCTTAGCCTTCTGAGTAGCTGGGACCACAGGCACGTGCCACCTCTCCTGGCTAATTTTTTAGTTTTTTGTAGCAATGAGGTATTGCTATGTTGCCCAGGCTGGTCTTGAACTCCTGGGCTTAAACAATTCTCCTGTCTTGGCCTCCCAAAGCTGGGATTATAGGCCTGAATCACCGTATTGGTCGAATGTTTGACTTTTAAAGAGTTCACGTGGGATTAATGCTTGGCTAATGTGACCCAGCTGACTTTATCAAGGTATAAAAATTGCAAATCACTGTATACTATATGTGATATGATAACTTTGTCATGTATAAATGTTTACTACATAATGTTTTTAAGTAAATGAGAGAAATGGGCCTGTTATTCTAGTGCTTTGGAAGACTGAGGCAGGAGGATCACTTGAGGCCAGGAGTTTGAGGCTGCAGTGAGCTATTATCATGCCACTGCACTCCAGCCTGGGCGACAGATTGAGACCCTGTCACACACAAAAAAGAGAAATGATCTCATCTTGAATAAAAGTCATCTTTAGTTGAAAAATATGTCAAAAAAAGGATAAAATGTGAGCCCACTAAAAATTTATTCATTAGCTGCCTTCTGCAAATACTTGATGAAATGATTTTTTACTCATTTCCTCCTATTATTCCTTAATAGAGTAGTTCACAAAACAAAATGTGTCAATTCTGTTTAAATTATACTATAATTACCATTAGAATATATTATAAAGATTTCTCAGCAGTTGGCAATTGCCTGTTGATTAATATTTGCTATTACCAAATTTCTAAATCCCACAAAAAAGTGAAGGTTGCTTTAAGAGTTAATTGTTATAGAACTTATAACTTGAGGAGGATGACCGGAACCTAAATTCTGGGTTTGGAAGTATTTGCTCCTCTGCAGGACAGTGTTGTATAATTGGGTGACTAACACAAAAGAATAATTTGTCATCAATGGTCAGTTAACACTTTTCTTTCTTTCCTTATTTTTAGCCTGAGCCTCCAACAACAAACAAATGGCAGCTGGACAACTGGCTGACCAAAGTCAGCCAGCCAGCTGCGCCACCAGAGGGCCCCAGGAGCACAGAGCCCCCACGGCGGCACCCAGAGAGTAAGGGCAGCAGCGACAGTGCCACGAGTCAGGAGCATTCTGAATCCAAAGATCCTCCCCCTAAAAGCTCCAGCAAAGCCCCCCGGGCCCCACCCGAAGCCCCCCACCCCGGAAAGAGGAGCTGTCAGAAGTCTCCGGCACAGCAGGAGCCCCCACAAAGGCAAACCGTTGGAACCAAACAACCCAAAAAACCTGTCAAGGCCTCTGCCCGGGCAGGTTCACGGACCAGCCTGCAGGGGGAAAGGGAGCCAGGGCTTCTTCCCTATGGCTCCCGAGACCAGACTTCCAAAGACAAGCCCAAGGTGAAGACGAAAGGACGGCCCCGGGCCGCAGCAAGCAACGAACCCAAGCCAGCAGTGCCCCCCTCCAGTGAGAAGAAGAAGCACAAGAGCTCCCTCCCTGCCCCCTCTAAGGCTCTCTCAGGCCCAGAACCCGCGAAGGACAATGTGGAGGACAGGACCCCTGAGCACTTTGCTCTTGTTCCCCTGACTGAGAGCCAGGGCCCACCCCACAGTGGCAGCGGCAGCAGGACTAGTGGCTGCCGCCAAGCCGTGGTGGTCCAGGAGGACAGCCGCAAAGACAGACTCCCATTGCCTTTGAGAGACACCAAGCTGCTCTCACCGCTCAGGGACACTCCTCCCCCACAAAGCTTGATGGTGAAGATCACCCTAGACCTGCTCTCTCGGATACCCCAGCCTCCCGGGAAGGGGAGCCGCCAGAGGAAAGCAGAAGATAAACAGCCGCCCGCAGGGAAGAAGCACAGCTCTGAGAAGAGGAGCTCAGACAGCTCAAGCAAGTTGGCCAAAAAGAGAAAGGTGAGTGTGGGGAGACTGCCCTGACTCCAGCGTGGACCATCCTTGCTGTTGGCCTGGCGGTATCTTTGATCGGCCTTTGATTTAGGCCCAGTTGAGTTGTCTCACAAGTCTTTGCTTTGATTCGCTGTAGCCTTTGCATCTTCTTCCAGCATTACCTGTCTGGACTTTGCTTCTCATTCTGCAGATGGGCATTAACACGTGTTATGTCCTTCCATCGGTCTTGCTAGTTTGAAAAAAGGTGAGGCAGTCATTAAAAACAATAGCTTCTTTTAGGATAATGTAGCATCTAGGGCCGCCCCCAACCCACCTCTTTTTTTTTTTTTTTTCCAAAGACAGGCCCTTGCTCTGTTGCCAGGCTGGAGTGCAGTGGTGCGATCTTGGCTCACTGCAGCCCCTACCTCTGGGGTGAAACGATCCTCCTACCTCAGCCTCCTGAGTAGCTGGGACCACAGGTGTGTGCCACCACACCCGGCTAATTTTTGTATTTTTTTTGTAGAGGTGGGGTTTTGCCATGTTGGCCAGGCTGCTCTTGAACATCTGAGCTCAAGTTATCCACCCGCCTCTGCCTCTGCCTCCCAAAGTGATGGGATTACAGGCCTAAGACACGATGCCCAGCCTCATTTTCATTTATTCTTGTAACTGGCATTTACCACCTGACCCATTAGGTTTTGCCTTAGTAGTTGAGATCTGATCTGAATTGAAATGTTAATTCATATTCTGAATTATTAAAAGAACGGCTCTATACAAATTTTACTCTCATAGTAGGATCTTTTATACCAATATCACATCCATATTTTAACGCATGACCATACAACACCTCTTTACAGTTACTAACATGTGGTTAGTGTCTCATTGAGTAATATAGGCTGATAATGGCACGTTGCAAAGTGTTGACCATATCATTTTATTTATTATAATTTTGGAAGATTCTTTTGGATACAGAATGGACAGAGTAACAAAATTGCTGCATTATTTAAGATTGTCTGTTACTTGAACATGCCACTGTTTTAGACAGGCTCCTTCCTTTTATTTTGAATCACTTGAGTTCCTGTTCTGTTTGTTGCTTTTTCATGATGATGAAAGATTAGTGAGTTTTTCCCCAGTAGCATTCCCAAGCCAACTTGCCCAAGAATCAGAGACAAAGTCACAAGAAGGGCCAACTCTCTCCTGCTGAGAAGGAATAAAATTTTTAACACTCTTGTAAGTATGTGAAAAACTTCTTACTCAGCTGTGGAAGTTGAGCTAAGAATAACAAAGGAAAAAAAGATTATGAAGCCTGCTGTCATGTCTGAGATTTGACTGATTAATCCAGTGCGTTAAAAATATAACACGACTTTACCGAATAGTAAAGGGCGACTGCTTTCTTCAGAACCTCCTTGCAGCAGACTAAAGGATGTGTATTGCCGCCATGTTTGCAGCAGGCAAGTTGAGTGGGATGGGATCCAGTGCTAGTAAGTGCTCTGTCTCAGCTAGAAGAGGGCATATTTTCATGCCAGAAACTTCTTTAAACTTTTTGTATGGGATGGGGTGGGGTGTGTGTGTGTGTGTATGTGTGTGAAAGGTACAAAACTTTATGGAGAAAATTGTGATGGACCTGGTTAGGAAAAAGATACCTGCAGCTGATACACCTGGGAAAACTTCAGGAACACACTCAGGTAGCTCCCTGTCCTGGTAAATCTCTCACCTGTCTCCCAGCTGCTGTGGTCTTGTGTGGTCTCCAGTGCTGACCGTCTGCATTAGCTGGAGTGGGGACAGGTACTCACTTCTGAAAGGATTACCTACCAGGTGGCAATGTTAGAACCCGGAGGATCCCCCAGAGAGCTCAGTCCAGTTCATACCCCAGTGCAAATCTAGAAGTGCAGCTTGTGGCTCTAGAAAGGGAAACTTTCAGCTCTCACTGTTGACTGTGGGAACTGTGCCCTCTATAAGCCGTTCCCAGGTTTTGGCTGAGCACCTCTTGGGCAGCTTATTTATCTTTCTGTTTAGAGCATGCAGAAATAGTGATCCCTTCATCTTAATCGAGTGCATGATTTCTTTAAAGCGCTGTCAAGCTGCTGAGAGATCTGGCCTGGGGAACAGTCTGCCTCCGTGGTACTGTCAGGATTGATGTCTGACCCACTGGTTCCAAACCCCGGCTACACATTACATTCACCTGGTAGCCTTTAGCACTGATGACGGGAATCCCCAACCCCCATTGGTATTTTAAAAATTCCTCTGGTAATCCTAGTGCCTATCAGGGCTGGAAACCACTGAAGCAGAGCCGTACTGCAGGGCCCAAGAGCATACAAAGCTAGTTATTTGGATCCAAAGTTGGTCAAGTGTGCAGTGTTTAGACATCATGATCTAGGCAAACAGAATTCCTGGCCTGAAATATGTCACTAGTTAGAAACATTAGAAGCTTTCAGGTAAATAAATATAAAAAACCAGTCAACCGTATTCTTATTTCTTCGTCAGAGAATCATGTGTCGTTTGGTTTAACTTCCTGCTGGATTCTGGATGGGAGTTGTTGAACATATTAATCTCATTATTTTCTGTAGAGGACAGGTTGTCCCCCCTTCCTCATTAGCGCCCTGACTGCTTGTTAGGGCTCTCTGCCTCTGGCCCTGTGACCAGCACGGTTGCTCCAGCAGGCAGCAGTGTGTGGGCCTGCTCTCCATGGCAGAGACAGGGCTGTGAAGCTTGGGTACTGCTCACATTTGGATAATGAAGATATTTTTCATTGTGTTCATTTTAAATGTGAACATTAGAAAAAACTCTGAGCATATAGTCAGAGGAATAGAAGAACTTGCTTGATCCTTCACATTAGTGGTATTTAGTGTTTTTATTTAAAGGCCTCTTAGAGTCTGTCCCTCTCTTGGCACAAAATTTAGCCAAATATTTTCTTTCAGAAGATTTACAGATCCTTGAATCCACTTCAGACTTAAAAGTGTATGAAGATGATCATAAAGAGTTAATGATGGCTAACAGCTGTGATGAAGCCATTAGACATGGCACCTATAGAAATGCACACGTTTTTTTACTACTCTACAACAGTGGGTAAGGAACAATGCATGAGGAAAAGTAGAGAAAACTGTGAGGGTAAATACGCATGACCTCACGTCGTGTTCTTTACATAAACTACTGAATTTCATCAGTCTGATTACAGTTTAGATTTTCTAATACCAACTTATGTTTTCTTTTAAAATTTTTTTATTTTTAGCTTAGAGACTATTCTGTTAATTACTTATTTTTTAGAGACAGGGTCTCGCTCTGTTGCCCAGGCTGGAATGCAGTGGCATAGCTCACCAACCTCAAACTCCTGGGCTCAGGTGACCCTCCTGCCTCAGCCTCCAGGCACATGCCACTGTACCCAGCTAATTTATTTTTTGTAGAGATGGGGTTTCACTTTGTTGCCCAGGCTGGTCTTGAGCTCTGGGCCTCCAGCAATCCTACCTCAGCCTCCCAAAGCAGTGGCATTACTGGTTGAGGGTAGTTGTCTAGCTCCTTGGTGTTTTGAACAAAGAATTGGACAAAATGCACAAAAAACCAAGGCAGTGAAAGCAGAGATTTATTTTAAATGAAAGTATGCTCCACAGGGTGGGAGCCGGCTGAAGCAAGAGGCTCAGGAACACTGGTTCTTCTGGGGTTTATATGCCTTCTAGAGGTTTCCCATTGGTTTCCCATTGGTTCACTCTAGTGGTCCACGACTAGTCTGATTGGTTGTAGGGGGGACCAATCAGAGTTACTTTCATTTTCCACACAGAAAAAGGAGGGGTTATATCTTATATCCAGTCAGGGTGGGTGGGCCTTAGGTTCCCTGCCTCCAGACCCTATTCTCCTGCCTCACTGGGGTTACAGGCATGAGTCACCATGCCTGGCCTATGTTTTCTTCTTCAGAATTCTTAAACCAAGCTTATTTTTTTCCAGATTTGGAAGAAAAGTTGAACTCAAGAACCACAATATATACAGTAATACACAACCAGGCCAGTGCAATTGGGAGCCCTCTAAAAATGTACCTGGCTGGGCACAGTGGCTCACACTTGTAATCCCTGCCCTTTGAGAGGCTGAGGCGGGTGGATTGCTTGAGCCCAGGAGTTCAAGACCAGCCTGGGCAACTCTGTGAGACACTGTCTCTGAAAAAAAAAAATTAGGCACAGTAGCGCATGCCTGAGGTCCCAGCTACTCGGGAAGCTGTGGTGGGAGGATCACTTGAGCCCAGGAGTTAAAGGTTGCAGGGAGCTGTGATTGAGTCACTGCACTCCAGCATGGGCAACAGAGTAAGACCCTGTCTCTAAAAAAAGAAAAATAAACACGTAACGTGCATAGAGCTACATGTGTGAGCCTTGCATTGTTCTAGGAGCTCATAGAGATAATTCCTCACTTCATTCAGTCATCTTACAGATTCCTTTCAAATGAAGGATAGTCTGTCTTAATTGTCATTTAGATGAATAACTGAATAAGGAGGTGCATTCATTCAAATCTTTTTTACTTTTTCTAAATAATCGCTTTGCTGACCAAGACACTTCAACTTTTTTGGGAAAGACATTCCAGTGCTATCATTTATGCGTTTTGAAGAGTGAGGAAGGGAAGTTATGATGTGTAGTAGGAAAATGCAGTTTTATTGCAGGGAGTGATTGGTTCAGTCCTTCCCTTCCATCCAAGATCTGACTGTCTTTTCTTGGGTTATTGCTCCAGATCAGCACCCCTAGTTATCGTTCAAAATGAAAGCTCATCCCTTCTGATTGACTAAGGCCACTTACATCTAAATTTCTTCGTGCCTGTTAGTTACCCTGAGGAGAGCACCACAACCATATGCATGTGATAGCTTAGGCTGTTCTGAATCATGCGTTCCCTCACCAAAGAGAAAAACAAGTGGATGAATTTCCCTTTTCTGTAGCACTCACCCCAGTGAACATAACCTGTCTGCACAGCAAGTCCCTGGGCCTGATCTTGGTACAAACTTGAATTGGTGTCCCTTGTGTCTTTTTCATATTGAATCTCCTTCCGAGGCGAATCACAGGGAAGTCCCTGAATTTCCCCAAAGACTGCTTCTCCAGTTTTCTGTGTTGCATGTGCTACCAAGCTCATTTGCTTCCTTTTGGAAGAGGATAATAGAGCCTTAGAATTTAGGTGCGGAAAGAACCTTAGTGGTCCCTTGATCAGCTGCCACCTTTTATAGATGAGATCCAAAAAGGCACTAACATGGCTTGACTGCTGAGTAAAAATAGATCTGCAGCTCAGGCATGCTGCCTCCTCCCAGTCCCGTGAGCTTTCCTCTTTTTCACATGTGTTTTCTCCGTACAAGTGTCTGTTGGGAGGATTCTCAAGAGGCGCACAAGGTCGGCGTACTGGCTCTGGCGCTGCCGGTGAATAAGGTGGTTACCGCGTCAGCCCCGGCTTGGTTCCTCCACGGCCCCCACCACTGCCACTCAGTGCCCACACACATTCCTACTCCACTTTAGCTACTCCTGCAGATGCTCCCATCTTCCTTCACAGCCAAACTCCTGGTTCACTACATCTTTCCATCTGCTAGAATCTCTATGGCACCAAATAAGTGTCAGTTCTGGAAAAAGCCACCTTTTCCCTGCTTCCTACAAGTGTCTGCTTGGTGAGCTGGCTGCACGGCAGCGCAGCCTGCCGAGAGGCTTTCCCTGACGGAAACTGACTTGGCCCCTTGCAAGCCCATGTCTTCCTTTTATGGCCTTCACTCTTGCCCTGTGCTCCACTGTGGGTGGAGCAGCATCTGGCAGAGATGATCAGGGCTGCCTGACCCAACAGGTTAAGAAAAGCAAACAAGTCTGTGAGGACCAATTCGTCAGCCGGCAGCCTCCCTTTGTGGAAGGTGAGGCACCATCCTTGAGACAACTAACCTAGTAGAAAAAGAATTTCTGAAACCCAGACCTTAAGCCAGATTCCCTGAAGTGGGGATGACCTGGGGATAAACCACAGGGCAAAGGGACTCCTTTTTCCTCCTGAAGAGAGAGTATCACCTCATCTGAATGGCTTCTTGACCCAGAAAAATCTAAAGAACAGCATGCCTCCTGTTTTACGGCAGGTCTTGTTCTTGGAATTTTGGTCTGCATTTCTGCTCACCCAATATTGCATGGCTCCCATGTTAATGACCCTTTCCTACATCCATCCACTTAAAGTTGTAATGCAGTCCTGCATCCAGTGCCCTCAGCTGTGTCCCTGAGCTGTTAAGCTGAATTTCTGTGCCAACTGACAAATACCGAGTGCCTACTCTGGGGAAGCCTCTGTGGCTGTTCCAGACAGAAGATGACAAAGTTCTAAGTGCATAGTGTACAAAAAACCACTAACTTCATGCCCGCTGGCTTGATCTCAACAGTTAAGCAAAATCAGCAGAAGGGGACTTTTGCTTTATTTAGTTTGATGGCTTCCTTTCTACCAGCTTATAGAATATTATCTGCTTCTAGGTTGCTAAATATCAATATAAAGCATATTATTCCAGTAAGTGCCAATGCAGTTGTTAGATGCTGGCGCTGAAGTTAGTGCTCACTGCATTCTCTCTTGTTGGCTGTCTACTTGAGTCACCGATTGGCACAGCCAGAGCTATAACCAGTCTGTGAGGATTGATTTGCCCTGACTTGTATCTTCATGTGTGGTCTATAAGGTCTGCCAGATTGGCTTATAGTCACAACCAGCATGTCCTAAGCAAAATGAAACTATATGAACAAAAATCAGCTCTCATTTCACTGCTAGACTTTGGTGTTTTCTTTAAGAAGTAGCCTTGTTAATGCTTAGTTTTGCCTTGGGGGCCTTAATGTGTCATTAACTGCCTGGAAATACCTTTCATTTAAAAAAGTATACTTTAGTACCTAATGTTCAATTTAGTATCGATCTGGATATTTTAGCAAATTTTGACTTTTCAAAGACAAAGTTTCTGTCTTGTAATGTTTCTTGGGCCGGCTATACTGCCTTTCATCTAAAACTCACTACAGTTCACTGGGCCGTTTGGTAACAGGGTAACCTGGGCATAATTAGGTGCTTGATTGACAAGAGAGTTACCAGTACCAGAAGTCAGGTTCTATTTTAACCCCATCATTTCCAATTGATTGTTTTTCTCTCCACCATTATTCACTGTCTCTCAAGTGTTAGCACTCTGAGTTGTTGAACGGAGGTTTGTATGCTGCGCAGAGCCCTGTCGCAATGCCCCAGCAAGCTTCTTGTTGGCATGTGGCCACTCTAAATTGTGCTCCAGGATCTGCTATGGGTCCATGCTTGCAGGAGAAACAGCTGTGTAGAATTTCCTATTGCATTTCATTTGTGGGTTTAGAACTCGGTTGCTTATTTCATATTGTCTCCCTTTTCAGTCCTTCAAGGTACATTTTTCCAACTTCTCTAATGAATTATTACATTTCTGAGTAGCTGATATGTTTTTATCTTATCTAAGCAGTATATTTATAATTCCTTCTTTGCATTGGCTAATCTGATTAGTAGTTCAGAACCCAATTTTCAGATTGTCTATAGCAAACTGTGAAGAACTGTGCTGTCAAGTAGAAATAGAATATAAGCCACATATGTAATTTAAACTTTTCTAATACCACATTAAAAACTATAAAAGGGGAGGAAATGGAAAATTAGTAAAAAAAAAAAAAAAAAAAAAAAAATTCTTTTTGAGACAGTCTCATTCTGATGCCCAGGCTGGAGTGCAGTGGCGCAATCTCAGCTCACTGCACCCTCCACCTCCTGGGTTCTAGTGATTCTTGGCCTCAGCTTCCTGAGTAGCTGGGACTACAGGCACGCACCACCACACTCGACTAATTTTTATGTTTTTAGTAGAGATGGAGTTTCACAATGTTGGCCAGACTGGTCTTGAACTCCTGACCTCAAGTCATCCATCCACCTTGGCCTCCCAAAGTGCTGGGATTACAGGCATGAGCCACCGCGCCCAGCCTAACATTTTAATAATTATATCTAATCCAGTATACCTAAAAGATTACTTTAATCAACTCCCAAAATATGTAAGTCTGTTATACATCAGTAAAAAAATCAATATAAAAATATTACATTCTCTTTTTTCTACTAAGTCATTTCAGACTAACACCATTCAAGTTCAGGTGCTCCCTAGATGTGGCTGTGGCTGCAGCTGCCAGATGGTAGCATGCAGGACAGTGAGAACTGATAGCCTCCCGAGGGTACGAGCCTTCACTTGGCCTTAATTTATTTCTTCCTCCTGTATTTTCCCTTCTTAACATTCTCACTTGTGCACATGCCGCAAGATTAAAAACAGGTATCTTTGTAAGCCACTCTGAAGGAAGCCGTTTTGAAACAAGACACTGCATAAATGAATAAAAGTGTCTTTTCCAAAGGAGCCTGTGAAGGGCTGGATGGATGTGCAGATGCAGGCACACTGATTTGTAGGATGCCAGGAGAAGGGAATTTTGTTTTTTTTCTGTTTTCTATTATTTTGTGTGGAGCCAGGCTGCTTATTGGTGTCTGGGCAGATTTGGAGCCTACACATCTTAAATTATTCATTTTTCTTAAACTCGGGAGGAGAGGAAGACACAGGAAAACTGGGACCTCCCACAGTTAATTTGAAGTTTTTTATTTTTTAAGAGAGGATTTCAGGTTTGTTAGGGATTGTCCTAAATTGACTGGTGTCCCAGATTTCTAACTTGGTGACCTGACACTTAGGAAGTTTCGTTCTAAATGCACATGAGAATTAATTGAAGGGTCTCACCCATCACTTACCTGCCACCTGCTAGACAGTATGTGGGCTTCCTCCTGAACCCAGAGCCATGGGAAGGAGGCCGTCAGGGAGTCTGCATGTCAGACTCCTTAGAAAGCTGGTGTATGTGCTAACAAGTGAGGCACAAGAATGCAAGAAAGACTTTCATCGTGGAAGAATTCTGTGTTGTTTTAGTGATTAAATGTATTTAGCACTTTAGTTGGTATAAATGGATGCTTTGAAGGTACTTAAATTCTTTTTTCTTTTTTTTAACCCTACTTTCAAGCTACCAAGTTAGAGATACTTAAATTCAATAGTGACAGATTCCCTTTTCCTTACTCCCACTAAAATATTTACAGTCTTTTCAGGGTTTTTTGAAAAATAAAAACATGTTTCTGTATATGGAGAGATATAAAGACAGTATTAAAAAAATTGAATCAGTGGAGGGGAAAAAATGTTAGCTAGAATCCCAGAGCAATTGTTTCTATTGTTGTTATATATCTTTGTAGTCCTTTCTGTAAAATACACGGGATTTTGTAGACGGTTTCCTTTCAACATTGTACTTATTTTTCAGTAGAAAATAAAGTAAGCTTTAAGTAGTCCATTTTGAATTTTATACAAACAATAAACTAGTGGGTTTAAGTGGATGGTTCTTTCGAAAGAAGTTGGAGGAAACCTCATAAAAAATCATCTCTGTATTATTTGATGTAAATATGCATGTTTTGTGGATTCTTTTCTATTTAGAAAAACATCAGTGGTCTATTGAAGTCTACTTACTGGCATTGTCTGTTACTTTAGGCATCTTCGTTTTCTTGCATGGGAGGAATTGTTTTTCTTCGTGCAAAAAAATCTGTCTCAATAGAAATTATATCAAATCTACATTGTCCCCTGCCCACTCCCCATCACACTCACACACAGACACACATGGTAAGTACTAAGAAGGTTGCTGTGCGTACAGAGATGTCTCCAAAGGTTCCTTTACCCTCTTTGCCTTTTCTATATTTTCTTTTCTGTTTTGTCTGTACAATTATGTTGGTAATAATTTGCTTTGCTGATTATACTGTAATAGGGTGAAGCAGAAAGAGACTGTGATAACAAGAAAATCAGACTGGAGAAGGAAATCAAATCACAGTCATCTTCATCTTCATCCTCCCACAAAGAATCTTCTAAAACAAAGTGAGTATAGAGATTAGCAACCACCTAATCTACGGTGATCAACACTTCTTGGGTCTTGACATAGCAAAGAAATTTTTCTTCTGCACTAGAATCAGTGGATTAATAAACTCAAGCTCATTTGGACAATGTAATAAGTTTGTTTTTCTTTCTTGCATCCATGAGGACCTTACAGGAATTAACAATTCATGTGGCAGCAAATTTAGATTTATCAGAAACATTTTCACTATGGACAATTTCTTTAGACATCTGGATTTTTTTTTTCCCTGAGGGAAAGTAAGAAAGGTACCCTTATTTCTACTTTGCAGAATTGGAAACAAACACACAGAGAAAATGACTTGTCCAAAGTCAGAGAATTCTTACTGTGTGTTGGAGCCAGCATTTGGACTCCGGGAGCCTGTGTTCAGTGCTCCTTCTTTTAGAGATGACTGAGAATCTGTCAGACCACTCAGTGTCTGTTGTTGGGAAGAGGGGTGGCAGGTGAGAAGTGGTAGTGCCAGGAAGACGTAAATATAACAAGCAGCTATTATTTACTGTGATTTACTCAAGAAATTGCTTCAAAAAATGTATTGGCAAAAACAAGTGCATAGTGTCACCGTGTGGGAACCGACAGAGATGGGGAAGGCTCAGATGTGGAGGGTGTGTGTCCACTCGTCTTCTTGTCAGGGAAAGGCACCGGTTGGGAAGCAGCTGAAGCAGGCGTTCGGAATGGTTGGGGAAAGTCAGGACCACTGGCAGACTCTGCAAGCTTAGAAACTATACAGCTTCATTTATCACTAATGGGTAGGGCTAGATTTTTGAAATGCCTCAAAAAGTCCCTGAAATTTGGCCTGTTTACACAGTTTCATGCTTTGTGATACCCTACTCTTTTGTGCCAGCAGCCAGTTTGTAACTAAACAACGAAGCCGCTTGATGTGTACTTTGCCTCCTCTTAGTTTTACGTGATGTTTCACTCCAGGCCCTCCAGGCCCTCCTCACAGTCCTCAAAGAAGGAAATGCTCCCCCCGCCACCCGTGTCCTCGTCCTCCCAGAAGCCAGCCAAGCCTGCACTTAAGAGGTCAAGGCGGGAAGCAGACACCTGTGGCCAGGACCCTCCCAAAAGTGCCAGCAGTACCAAGAGCAACCACAAAGACTCTTCCATTCCCAAGCAGAGAAGAGTAGAGGGGAAGGGCTCCAGAAGCTCCTCGGAGCACAAGGTGAGCAGGGGCGGCGGTCACTCTGTAAGATGGGATGCATTGCTGTACCTTTACGTTCCCAAAGAAGACAAGTTGCTAGTGATGGCACTTCAGAACTGTCCATTGCTTTTAATGAGGCAACTGTTTGTGTTTAAAATGCTACTTTTTGGAGGGAGAGTAAAAGGTATTAATAATACACAAAGATTTAGGTGTCGATTTATTCTTCTTACAGTGATTTCAGAGGTGAAAAATCAAAATAGATTTTTGTGCTAGTTTTTGTTAGGGTGTTTTACAGTAAGAAATAGTTACCCTGTGTAGTCCTGCTTTGAATGTTTGATCTCAGATACTTTCATTCTTGGTTATAGTGGGGAAAAAATGATCCACTTTCTCAAATAAAAGTTCTTCTCTTCCTGTTAATCTGGGTGGAGTGGAGTGGTGTGTTTGGATTGACTAAGAGAAAGTGTTATGTGTGGCTTTGTGAGTTCTCTGATCTCTTGGACATTCTAGTCTTTTTGAGTCCCCAGTACAATCAGAACCACCGCTTCAGTTGAATCTGTAGCTGAGGAAGTGTTTAGCCAGGGTAGATTGTGCATTGTTTGATTTACTCTTTTTTGAAACTACTATTTCGGGCTATTTAAGAGGGATGGTACTTTTAGGACAGTGGTCTTAAATGTTAGAGTGTAATCTGTATATTGATTTTTTTTTTGAAGGGTTCTTCCGGAGATACTGCAAATCCTTTTCCAGTGCCTTCTTTGCCAAATGGTAACTCTAAACCAGGGAAGCCTCAAGTGAAGTTTGACAAGTAAGACTTCAGATGATTTCTTCTTGCTCTGTTTTGTTTTGTTTTGCTTCCCCCCCCCACCAAGATAGAGTCTCACTCTGTCACCCAGGCTGGAGTGTAGTGGCATGATCTTGGCTCACTGCAACCTCCACCTCCCGGGTTCAAGTGATTCTCCTGCCTCAGCCTCCCAAGTAGTTGGGACTACAGGCATGAGCCATCATGCCTGGCTAACTTTTTTTGTATTTTTAGTAGAGACGGGTTTCATCATGTTGGTCAGGCTGGTCTCGAACTCCTGACCTCAAATGATCCGCCTGCCTCGGCCTCCCAAAGTGCTGGGATTACAGGCGTGAGCCACTGCACCCAGCCACTTCTTGCTCTTTCTTCCTCCATTTCCTCCTCCCCTCCTTATTTCCACTTCTCCTTCTTTGTTTACCCTCTCTCCTCCCCTTGCTGTCCTCCCATCCTTTTTCACTCTTGGTCTTATCTTGCCCTAGTCTAGTAATTTTTGGCTCATATGACCTGTCCCTGGTTTTTCCTCTTTTTCAGACAACAAGCAGACCTTCACATGAGGGAGGCAAAAAAGATGAAGCAGAAAGCAGAGTTAATGGTTAGTATTGGCCCTTTATCTCTTTGGTAGAATGTTTTCTGATAGTAAAAAAAATTTTTGGTAGTCTCCATTCTGCTGTATTCCATATCACTCAGCGTATGTGCGGTGGAAGGAGGGGGTGCAGCAGGCGCAGGAGAAAGGAGTGTATGGGCCCTACCATTGGCCACAACATATGCACGCAGCAAAATCAGGACCTTAATGATTAAGGGGTAGGTGGTTCTTAGTGGTGGTATTTTCTTTGGCTCCATTGATTCAGTCTGATCATGGGCAGATATACAAAGGACCTAGTCACAAGTTTTGTATCTAAGTAAGTCAAAGTTAATCTACCTGCTGGTGATTTAATGCATAGGTGCCTTTTTATTCCACTGCATCAATTCTTTGGATGTGAAAAATGAGCCCTGCTGTTGAAACTCAGTCAACGTGTGTTCACTCTAAAACATTTCACAAGGCAGGAAGCCTGTTTACATTCCAAAATTATCTTAAAGCCTTCAGAGGCTGACCTGAAGGAAGAGTTGAGCTAGGCTATTAGATGAGATTTTAAGATGAAGGTAATGATTATACTGTTGGTAAACATGCTTTAAAAACATGAATTCTCTTTACCTATTGGCTTTTGGACTTTCTAAAAGGTGGTGGTTTTGTAGTTAATTGTGTACATAATTATGCTTTTACATCACTACTGCAATAATGAGATAATGTTTGCCCTTTGTCATATTTAGATATCCAAGACTCTGGGGCTTTTGCTTATGTAGTGAGTTCCTAAACCTAAATCCCCACAAATGCAAAAATGCAAAAACCTCCCTGGAAAGCCATATGTTGAACTTTGGTACACAGAGGAAGGGCATGAGTTGCCTTTTTTGGTTCACATGCAAACCTAACTACACATTTCAGACACCCACAGGGGTCTGAATCAGATTGATTCATGGTGGCCCAGCCCGCAAGATCCTGGCCTGGTGCTCTTCAACCCTAATCTGCAGACCTGTATCTCTTCTCAGACTCTTTCATCAGATACCCTTGCATTAGGCAAAATGTTGATTCCTTACCATGCTCAATTCTGTAAGATAGTCAAAGACAAGCCTCTCTAGCCCTGTTCCTAAAACTGCGCTGTACCAGGGTGACCTAAGTCAATTAAGAATCTGAGATTGTGCCAAGCAGTGGTTTCAGCAGCTTCCATTTTTCCAAGATTATTACTGGAACTGTATGAATCTTTGGAGTTTTGGAAAGAGTAAATATTTCGCACTGTCAGCCAGTTATCTAAAACTTATCTTGACATTGGATACTTTCAGTACTAAGATTTCTCGTTATTCAAAGGAGTAATATTCATACTCTAGGGAACTTTGTTTTTAATCTATTCATATGCATACATTCTTTCTCCTTACCTAAGGTGACTGTACATCCCAGTGTGCCAGGACAGTCCTGGTTTATGCCTGTTTCATCCCAGTTTGATAAATAATTATATCCCATTTCACTCTTAAAATATGCCAGCTTGGACAGTAAGCCCCTGTGGCCCACCCACTCCATAATATTCTCCCTTAATAGCATAATGTTTCAAAGATGTGCAGTTGGTGTTCCAAATAGTTACCTATCCAACTGAGTAGAAAGGGATGTATTTCTTCTCTACGTTATCTTCAACTGATGAGTGATGAGGGAAACTACTTTAACAATGTTTCAGGAGATACATGGAATCACAGAAATATGGACGTTATTGGCCTTATGATATACTTATCTAAAGGAAATGGATATTGACAAATTGCTACACAGTATTGTAGTTTAGTTTATTTCTAGCCTAAAGCCAATATTAACTTTGGAAATCCCATGAAAGAGATGGTGTTGAATAAGTATATTTGGAGAATTCAGTTCCATCAGTGAAGCAAACCGGTCATGCCAAATACTGCTGATTAATTGGGGAATACTCATTTGATTTTTGTTCTGTCACTAATCTGAGCCTCGGTTCTCTAGAGAAAGTATTTTTTGATTAAGTTACCTTTTAAAATAAAAAATGTTAGAATAATTGAATATTCTGAAATATACATGTATACTACATGTGTATATGTATAGCAGCCTAGTTCATTCTGCTACTGGTAAAACATGAGAACAGTATGCACTAAAGTCATTCTGTTGTCAGCTCACTGGGAGAAGCGTTGTTTCTGCCCTGTGTAGAGTGCAGCAGCATGCCTAAGTAGCATGACAGCCCATACCGCTCTCATTGCTGACGTGTCTCCAGCTCCTTGTATTCCACTTA
Organism: Homo sapiens; assembly: GCF_000001405.40. NCBI lineage: Eukaryota > Metazoa > Chordata > Mammalia > Primates > Hominidae > Homo > Homo sapiens. The sequence continues at coordinate 87,129,943 of NC_000004.12, forward strand.
CATCTTTACTATTTTCTTTCTTTCTTTTTTTCTTTTTCTTTTTTTTTTTTGAGCCAGAGTCTTGCTCTGCCACCCAGGCTGGAGTGCAATGGCATGATCTCGGCTCACCGTAACCTCTGCCTCCCATATTCAAGCGACTCTCCTGCCTCAGCCTCCCAAGTAGCTGGGATTACAGGCCTGCTACCACACCTGGCTAATTTTTATATTTTCAGTAGAGATGGGATTTTGCCGTGTTGGCCAGGCTGGTCTCAAAATCCTGACCTCAAGTGATCCACTCACCTCAGCCTCCCAAAGTGCTGGGATTACAGGCGTGAGCCACCATGCCCGGCCCCTATTTTCATTCTTTCCTTTTGAACATATCAAATACAAAGCAGAAATTACAAATGCTAATCAGTTGCTCTCAAGGTCTTCATGGGCAGTACATACGCCACATGTAGAGAGAAAGACAGTTGCATCACACTGTCATCAGCTGCACTTGCCATATGCCACTTAGAAGCGTGCTGTGTGACAAAGTGTGTATTCAGGGTGTAGGGTGACCACCAATATCTGATTTTGTTCATATTTCTACATTCCCTTTAAGGGACTCTGAAATGTTACCCCTGTTGGCCTCGGAGGATGGTTTTGTGCACTAAAGCAGATGTCAAAGGAGGTTAATCTATTGGGCTGTAAAATGCATATAACAATTATTGTTGGCTATTATGTCTAACATGCTCATAAACCATGATGAGTGTTTTCTTTTTAATAAACTTCAGCACGCACAAAGAAATATGCGTCTGCATTACTCCAGACATGTGGAATAATCTGTTTCTCAAGGAAGTTATAGAATGAGTAATTTGACACTAATAACAAGGAGACTATGTACTTACTGCCTTAGTTTGCGTATGTGCTTTCATAAGGCTTTGAGAGCATGGTCTTAATACGGGATCATTTTCTTTTTCCTAATGAATTTTTGCTAAAATAGTTTTCAGCAGGTCATAGCTGACAGGCTTTGGTTATCATTTTTAGTTCATTCATCCTCACACTTCTCCCTGGCCATAATTAAACTAAGACAGTGGAGGAAAGTCACACTAAAGAATGTGGGTGAGAAACTAAATCAAGGTTTGTCTTCAGCCTAACAATGACCATGTTCTTCTCCTGCAGACGGACAGGGTTGGAAAGGCTTTTAAGTACCTGGAAGCCGTCTTGTCCTTCATTGAGTGCGGAATTGCCACAGAGTCTGAAAGCCAGTCATCCAAGTCAGCTTACTCTGTCTACTCAGAAACTGTAGATCTCATTAAGTAAGTGCCGAGTCATTGTGCTTTCCTCTTAAGTCCTTTTCTTTCCTCACCTTTATTGTTTTAATCCATTTGAACCTTAGTGTGAAGATGGCTCAATAAAGGGGAGCCTTAAAAAAGTTATTGGTCTAAGAACTAGTGTTTGTCCTGAAGTTGCGTTCTAGATGAAGTGCTAGCACAGAATAACTGGGTCCAACTGCATCATTTTGCTAAGTGCGCCAAGAAGTGCCAAAGCTTTGAGGGAGATTGGTTTTTCCAGTTTAGCTTTTTTATGAAGTGTCCTCTCCTCTCAGTTTAAGCCTTTGTTTACTTACCTACATTTCAACAGGGGACTCAGTAAGGACACAACTTCACTTGGTTTCAAGAGGTAGACAAGCCACACAAGAGACGTGTACTCACCTAGTTTTCTCAATGGCCTGGATTGTTGCTCTAAAGCCTTGGGTTTTTAAATTTTTTTCCTGTGATGCTCTCATCTCTTCTTCAGGAAAAGTCAATATAAAATGGAAACAAGCATAGTAAGTTGTATTTGTGTCTGCCTTTGTTTAAAACCTGATGTACTTTTATATTTTCCTATAGATTCATAATGTCATTAAAATCCTTCTCAGATGCCACAGCGCCAACACAAGAGAAAATATTTGCTGTTTTATGGTGCGTATTTTCCTTTGTCTAAATAGTACTAAATTTGTTTTTGCATCTGTTGATGTTACAAAAAGATTCTGAAATTTGTTTTCTTAATGTGAAAATTATGAAAAGCAAGTCAGTACTTTGGTCAAAAGGTTAATCCCTCACTGATAGTAATTCTTATAAAATGGTATCTGCTGCCATTTTTCTGATGGCTTGGTAAATGCTTTGGTCTTGTGATATAAATTATATCCTTGTGTTTTCTACCAGCATTTACTTTTGGGATAGTATGAACAGAGCAGTAAGATACTTTACATACTAACTCACACAGGTGAGGCAAACCCGGTGTGTTCATTAGGCTATAAAAGGTTAGATGGCTGCTTTTCTGTAGTATGATAGTCACGTGCAGTTTCACTTCTGTCTTTGTTCATAGCATGCGTTGCCAGTCCATTTTGAACATGGCGATGTTTCGTTGTAAAAAAGACATAGCAATAAAGTATTCTCGTACTCTTAATAAACACTTCGAGAGTTCTTCCAAAGTCGCCCAGGCACCTTCTCCATGCATTGCAAGGTAACTCTAAGTCTAATATAAATAATTTCCAGAATTGAGTCATTTCTTTATTTACTTCTTGCTTTTGCAACCATTTGTATGCTTACATATGTCACTTTGCCTTTTCAAAAATTGTTGGCTTCATCTGTTTGCTGGTTGCTCCTAAATTTAAATTATTAGCATATTTCTACCTTTTTGAGAAATAGTTATAAATCAAGGTTTTTGCTGATTGGAAAACATAAAAAGGTAATTGCAAAGAATATAGAATTGAAATTTTTGAGCTTTGAGGTTTTTGTTTGTTTCTTTGTTTGTTTGTTTTTTGAGACAGAGTCTTGCTCTGTCTCCCAGGCTGGAATGCAGTGCTGCAATCTTGGCTTACTGCAACCTCCACCTCCCAGGTTCAAGCGATTCTCCTGCCTCAGCCTCCCGAGTAGCTGGGATTACAGGCCTGTGCCACCACCATGCCCAGCTAATTTTTGTATTTTTAGTAGAGATGGGGTTTCACCACATTGGCCAGATTGGTATCGAACTTGTCACCTCAAATGATCTGCCTGCCTTGGCCTCCCAAAGTGCGGGGATGCCACAGGCGTGAGCCACCGCACCTGGCCGAGCTTTGAGGATCTTTAGATAAGCCTAAGAACACAAAACAAGAGGCGGAGCCAACAGAACCAGAGCCAGAGTCCTTTCTCTCTCTGTATGTATGGACATAGCTTCTTGGCATTTCAGTAAACAAGAAATTTCCAGAGCCATATGCCACACCAGCAATACTAAGAATGAAAATGATTATCTTTAGCAAAATTTTTTTCCCCATTTTGTGAACTAAAATTGTTCATGTATGCTGTAAGTTATTAGAAAAAAAGAATCCTTGTACAAGTGTTTTTAAAGTGAAGCTGGAATTTTCTTCCCTGTAGTCCTTGCCTAGTATTTTTTAATTTGGTCATACTCCTTGTGAAGTTCCTAGTTCTGATAAGCTTTGCTATTTTAAGAATATCACTTACACGACTGCCCTATTTCTAGCACATTCAAAAGAAGAGACTCCCATATGGCCTCTCTTAAAAAAGAAAGTCCTGATTAAGAAGCAACTTCGTATTACCTCTGAAGATTTTCATGGCTGCTGCATTGAGATATTATTCTAAGCTAATAGATTGTCAATCACATTATTTACATAACTCCTTCAATCATTTGTCCATCCAGTATATACTGAGCACCTTCTTCATACCAAGCCTTGTTTTAGGTACTGGGGATACAGCAGACAAGAACCACTGCCCTCATGGAGCTTTCACTCTACTCCTTGCAAATGTACATTCTGCTAGGTCCGTGCAGCCCAAACGGCAGGTGTAACATCATGAGGCTACTGCCGCTGAACCATCATCTTTCCATTTTATATTCATTAACTCTTTTTTATTTAGTCCACATTGAGTCACATGTTAACTTGCAGGTCCAGATATTCAGCCAAGAGTGGAGTAAAGAGGAGATAGAGTCTTCTGATGCATGATACTTAATATTAGTTCATTCATTGGCTCAGCAAGTATTTATCAGGAGCCTACTTCTAGCACCTATTGTGCTAAGTGCTAGTAATGCAAAAATTAGTGAGACATTATTTCTGCTGTGGCCCAGGAAAAGGAATAAACAGTAGATAAATGTAAGAAAAGAGAGATGTTCAAGTGGTGGCAGAAAGGAAGCTGTGATATATCCAGGGTATCCACAGTGTCTAAAAGAATGCATGGTACAGAGCAGGTGCTCAGTTAGTGTTTACTGAGTGGATGAAAGGATGAAATACAGGTGGGTGCACACACATACCTACATATGCATACATTACATACATAGAGTATTGTCTTACTAGGAGATTCCAGGCAGAGGAAGTAGACTATGCGAATGGCATGGGAAAGCATATTTGGAATACAGATTAGCCCAGCAGGGTGTCTCGTTGACCTTGTAGGAGTGACTTTAGCAGTGGTTATCATTTTGGCAGGTGTATAGTGAAACTTTGTGTCTTGGACTGTAGTTCCAGACACGTAAATCTGTGATCCAGGGGTCTACTGGTGACTGACTGATCAGTTATCTCTTCTCTTCCACCTCCCAGAAGCACAGGCACACCATCCCCTCTTTCCCCAATGCCTTCTCCTGCCAGCTCCGTAGGGTCCCAGTCAAGTGCTGGCAGTGTGGGGAGCAGTGGGGTGGCTGCCACTATCAGCACCCCAGTCACCATCCAGAATATGACATCTTCCTATGTCACCATCACATCCCATGTTCTTACCGCCTTTGACCTTTGGGAACAGGCCGAGGCCCTCACGAGGAAGAATAAAGGTAAATAAATGGCTTTGTGGTGGTAATTACTGGGGTGTTTGGATTGGGAGGAATAAACATTGGTTTATATTTTATAAGTTCAGTTTCTTGGAGAAAAGGGAATGTGTAGCTGTTTTACTTTAATTATATTTTCTCTATTCTGCCTCAAAACCTAGTTGCGGTTGTTCCTTGAGCACTGTGGCATGGAGCTGAGTTTCTGTGGCTAGATCTTAGCAAAACCAAAATACAAGTGGCTTTAGCGCCTTGCCCCTTCTGAAGCTCTGCTGTCATTACTTCAGCCTGAGCTGAAATGCTAGCTGAAAGGCAGGGCAAATGAAGAAGAGGAGCCACTGGCTGTTCCTAGGCCCAGCACATTGGAGATACAAAGTAGCATAACCCAAATACCGAGATTATTTGTTTTTAGTATATGTTAAGAAAGATAGTAGCTATGGTACGAGAGATACAGCGTAGTAAACATTATTGAGACTTGTTTGGGGAAGAAGACCCTTGGAGAAATGCAAGGTTCAGGAGAGTTGGAGCCAGCTGGCTGTAACTACTTACTTTCGACATAGAGCCTCTTAGGGCCTTATCTGTCTTATCAAACTGATAATGCTTTTAACTTTTTTTTTTCATTAATGCATCCTTTGAGGCAAAGGTATAAATTTGGTGTTTTCCAAGTGCCAGCCATTGTGCTAAGCATTATGGATTCAGCTCTAAAGCAAACCTGGTTGGTAGTCTAGTGGAGAATTAGCAAGCAATTACAGTAGATTGTGATTTTTTTGATGTGATTAAGTGCAGAATATTGTGGGGACCTACCTTCTGGAACCTTGAATTTTTGTTTCCATTTTAATTTTTGTGTGTGCTTGTGTATTTACTTGTTTTTGTTTTGTTTTGTTTTTTTTGCAGAATTCTTTGCTCGGCTCAGCACAAATGTGTGCACCTTGGCCCTCAACAGCAGTTTGGTGGACCTGGTGCACTATACACGACAGGGTTTTCAGCAGCTACAAGAATTAACCAAAACACCTTAATGGAGCCCCAGGTTGATTCAATGCCTTGGGAACTATTTTTGCACATTGGAAGCCTCAAAAACAGTCCAGACATTTGTTTCATCAGGACACCAAACTCTAAAAAAGAAGCACCACGAGATGGCCAGGACATTTGTCCACTTAAACTCTCAACAACAGTGTGATCATTGGTTGGACACTGTGGTTATGCAGAAGCAGAGATGAGGAGGCTGGCCCCAGAGATGATCTTGCCCTTCCTAACTAAAGGACAGAAGTGCAATTTAGCTTAAATGGGTGTATGAATGGTCTAGAAACATTTCTATTTTTTTTTTAAACCAGCAGGATACAAGTTGCAAATGAAATGAGGAGAAACAGTTTCAACTCTGAAAGTGAATTTCACGTCATCTCAGTAGCCACGCTAGTCCATTCCCAGAAGGAAATTTTTTTTTTTAACAATGACTTTTGGTAAAGGGTTTTGTGGATGATTTTTTTTCTTTTGAGTTTTGGGAGAAATATTTGTTTAGTAACTTCTAATGGCCATCTGTAAACCATAAGTAATGAAGGACTCCACTGTGCCCCACTTTCTGCCAATGAACAGTGGCTTGATAATACCAAGTATTGTTGTAATTTATAAAATTGAAGGCAACCCCCGCTCCTGCCGCCCCCAATCTCCCCATTGCCTAGAGCGCTGCACATTGACCCCAGCTCTGACTTCTCATTACTGTGCTGAAAGTCAGCCCACGTCGGAGCGGTGAGGAGGAGCCACAGCACATGGGGTGCCACCTCGAGGTCTGCACAGGAGGACTTGGCGCTGCCATTTCCTACCCCTGCCATTTCCCACCCCTGCTTCAGCGAAAGGGACTCTCTAACAGGGCAGTCACTGTTGACTCTATTCTGAATTTCCTCCCTTGGGGAAGAAGGGAACCAACATTTATACCTGACCAGATGGCTAAAGTGCTTTTAAAGTTTTGTTTAAGTAGAGCTGGAATTTGAGGTGCTGATCTGTGGTCTACAGTTATGTGGTAACTCATGTTGTCCAGCCAACTCAGAGTTTCGTCAGTGAACAAGAAACATGAAATCTGCTTCTTAGAGAGGCTATATTTTTCTGCTACAAATATTTTATATTTATAGCAAAACTAGACTTTCAGAGTCCTTGATTGTCTAGGGGAAGTTAACTCCCTGAGAGGATGTAGAGATTTGGGGTGGTTGATTAGACTTTTGAAAAACTCATCACCACATGCCTTCACTCCAGAGTGTTCTCAGCTAGATTTGATTTGGTTGAGGAGGAACTGTGGCCCTCCGTAAGTTATTGCCATAGTGTATGCATTAAACCAAGTCCATTTTGAATGACCTAAAATGAAGTAACACAATCAGAAATCCCATGTGCCCATAAGCACAGATTTTTCTTTTTCATTGAAACTTTAAAGGTTATTATTGGAAACATTACTTTGAGTGCAGTGTTTTTAAAAGCCAATTCTTTTTTATCCCTTTTAGAAGTAGAATTTGCACACTTACTACAATTGAGGAGTGTCATCTCTATAACTTTTTCTCCGCCTTTGTCCCATTCTGCCCCTGTACATGTTTCCTACCAAGCATGTTTCACATTTTCCTATTAGTGGAGGAGGGAGAACCATATTTATTTATAATGAAGACATCTAAGATCCCTATGATGAATGCAGGAACTCTCTTGGTAGTTTGTAAATACACAAAGGGATGTGTCGAGGGATGGGAGCGATGCTTATCTCTCACAGTGTGAGTGGTCTGTGTGAGGCTGTTCCTTCAGTTTCTTCTCCAGACTGTTCTTTGGTTGTCACTAAGTCAGAGGTCTGGTCCCTCATGTTTAGGTGAAAGCCAGAGAATGACAGCTGTAGTCATATCTGAGCATAAGACCTTGATGTGTGATTCCTGATGACCGGTTTCATTTATTCATGTTATAAAGCAAAGCCCTGGTCCTTTTTAAACTACTAGTTTTAAAAACCTGTGTTAAATGAACAGTAATTGCCTGGTAGGTTTGGTGTGTGTGTAGCATTGTGTGTCCATCTGTTATATGTAAAGGACAAGGCACCAGAATCAGGCTTTATTTCGATATTGAAGATGTTATTTAACATCTTTCTTTTTTCCTTACTCCCTTAGCCATCCCCTCCCCTTTTGTCCTATCATTCCCTAGAACAAGCCACCTGTCAATTGTGAAGGGTTGTGTTCTTTATGGCAGGTTCTATGCAGATTGTGCCAGAGCATGTGCGTGTTCTGTTGGCAAGCCACAGTGCTCCCTTGACTGAAGACATTTCCAGGTAGATTTCTCAGCCAGCTCTAAAACAGATTGCTTTTTCAGTGGCCTTACTCTTTGTGGGTTTTTTTTTTTTTCTCTGAACTTGATATAAAGATTTTATTTGTCCCTTGAAAAAGTAACAAATGTGCATAGATCAATTTGTACTACTTTGGTCATTGGATATTTCTGATCCTTATTGCATTGTACCTAAAGGAGAGTAACTAATGGTAACCTTTTTAATAGAGTATGTGAAAGGTAGTGGCTGATGAATCCTTAACGTTCATAGGGTCTTTTTGCTGTTACGGTTGTATATAGAGGTCTGAAGGATTTTTAAAATGATTTGCACTTTTTCACTGCATGCTTACAATTCCCAAAGGCAAAATCTGTACTGAGGTAGATCATTTGAAAGGGCTAGATTATAAAATTAAGCCTTAGAGTATGGAAAGTTCTTATAACAATAATAGTACACACTTCAGAGTAAGACAAATGCAAAGCATCTTAAGGAGTGAAAATAGAGTGTAAATCTTGCCTTTGGCACTACAAGGTGTGTGTGTGTGTGTGTGTGTGTGTGTGTGTCTTTAGTAGGAAATGGAAGAACACTGTTTTATTTTTTAAAGTGTTTAATGTTTCTGTCCTTTCTGTGAATTATTGAATTTAAGAGCCCTGCTAAATAATGAAAAAACACTTTACTAAAATTTATCAAATTATACTGGGTTCGGATTGTGAAAACATTGGCCACCTAGTAGCAGTGGTGAGGAGTGGGAGGGCCCAGCAAGCATTTATCAGAAATAGAATCACAATAGGAGGAGAATTTGACTGTCTGATATTATGATTTGATTACAATACTGAATGGGAAAAGTATCTAATATTTTGTAACAAAAAGACCTTCATATTATCTGTTTTGACCAAAATATGTAGCTATTTCCCTTACACAGATTGGACCGCACTTATCTCCCTTGTCCTGTATCCTTTAATTTCAGGTCTCAGGATGTTTAGAAAGCTAAAACCCCCTACCCCTTTCTGGCTGAAAACTTGCCTTATTTGGTATCTTACACATTAATGTTACTAGCATCAGGAGCTTACTGTTTTATTATGATTCATCTTCAGTAATTTTTAGAAGCAAGAAGAAAGCCATTGTGTCCTCTACAATTAACAAAACTTATCTCTGATATACAAAGGGATATAAATATATACACTTAAATAGAGAAAAAGAGGTTGATTGAATTGTGCCTTTGAGTGAACCCAGTTTTTAAATACCGCTGTGTTTGTTTCGCCATGGCTTCAGGGATGCTACATGGCTCTTGCACCTTTTACTCCTCTGCTTTATGAAGTTTGAGTTGTATTTGTGCATCTTAAAGTAGGTTGAGGCTTGAGGCTGGGCTTTCGGGTTTTTTTGTTTTTTGTTTTGTTTTGTTTTGTTTTGTTTTCTTGTACTTAAACCTGCTTGCTTCCTACCACAGATTCTTTATTTTCCCAAACACTACAAAAAAACTTTTAAAACTTTGCCATTTCATCTGTTTACACTCTTTGCCACTGATTAGCAGTATTTAAATCTTGCAAGAATATTTTGTGCTTTCTTTAGAAACACAAGAGTATAGATTTTTCTCACTGAAAAGTGAGAGTTACGCATTGCAGCCATGAAGGGATGCTAGGATCAATTATGGCAGTACCTTTTTTCCCCTCCTGTTCTTGAGCCAGTTGTCTCTTTTGTTTTGGGTCCCACTTAGGATTAATGGATGTAAGGTATTTTCCTGTGCCTTTATTTTGTGTCATTCTATTGGAAGGAGGTGTAACGGCAGAATAGCATCGTGTTGGGGGTTTTCCTTCAAACACTGCAAGTGATATTGCCACCATGTGAACCTCAAATATGCAATCCAGTTGTGTTGGTTTCTCGGTGACTTGGAGTGTTCATCTCTTCATGAATTGTGAGCACTGACCATGTTCTTCAGTTCTTAATTATGGTGAGTTGACAAATACCAACTACTGCTTTTCTTTAGGTGGCTATAAATTTCTTACTGTCAGGAGGAAATGACATTATATTCTGTTCCACTGAACGTCAGAGATCAGCAGGCACTGTACTGGGTAGAGAAGTGCCTATACTTCTCTACCTAAGAGGGCAGGAGGGAAACCCTACAGCTCCTTGTGAGCCTATATATTAGTATATCGGCCTGGAGAGGACAAGGGAATAAGACCACTCATAGTGAGGCTGGCCAAGCTGCACTGGTCGGACCAGGCAGTGGCTGACCTAAGGAAGACAACTTGCTTTGCTTAAAAGTAGATTTTTTAAGCAATGCTTAACACAGGCAGCATTCACCTTTGTTCAGGCCATCGACATGTATTGTTAAAATTACTGCATATCCCCCTCAGATATCAAGTATACACTGTTCATGTTGGGGTTGTGTGTGTGTATGTGTGTATGTACGCACGCATGTGTCCCAAATCTTGTTTTAATTTTTTTTTTCTGAATGTGATCATGTTTTGGATGATACCTGAGCAGGGTTGCCTTTTTTTTATTTATTACCATTATATATTATATTATATTATATTATATATTTTTTGCTTTCTTATAACTTTGGAGGAAAGTCAAATCTTGGTATTATTAAAATTGTTTTAAAAAGGAGTAAATTTTCCAGTTGATAAATGAAAATCACTGGCCTATGTTTAATAAGTTTTTCTTTAATTACTGTGGAATAACGTGCCAGCTATCATCAACACAATGATTTTGTACATAGGGTAGGGAAGCAGTGATGCTCTCAATGGGAAGATGTGCAACACAAATTAAGGGGAACTCCATGTATTTTACCTACTTCAGCAATGGAACTGCAACTTGGGGCTTTGTGAATAAAATTTAGCTGCCTTGTATAGTCGTTTGAAAGAATATGTGATCTGTGAGAGAATTATAGTTTTTTTTTAGAAGAAAAATCTGCAAAAGATCTTTCCAAAGACAATGTGCCACAGATCTTTTGTTCTCTGTAATGAGGATTAATTGCTGTTTAAACAAAAATGTAATTGTTCATCTTTAAATTCTTTCCTTTTCATAAGAGGATCAAGCTGTAAAAAAACAAAAAAATTAATAAAAATTTCGAGAAATCATTGGGGTTGAATCCATGCTTTCTCTTTACCTGAATACAGTTAATTCCTAATACCATTATGTGAAATTGCCATCTATAGCCAAGGAGTTTCATGTGAGCAATGTGTCCTTATTCGCAATATTTATTGCTGGAGTGGAGAAAGAACTGGGTTCAGAAGGCAGCTTATCCTTCTGTTCAGTGGATCTCGCTAAGATCATAATCGGACACAAATTGGCCTAACATCACCAGTGTGGCTTCTTATCCTAACATCAACTGGAGGGTGTAGTAGTGACCAAATTTGCCTATTTCCAAATTTGCTGGGTAGACAGGTTTGTAGAATGTTGGTATTGAAAGGAATCTAAAGGTTATCTGGCCTTTTCACCCTTTGCCACCGTTAAAGAAAAAATACTCTTTGTGATTTCATGAAATGGGAAAGGACCTAGGTGCTGAAATCTGACTTCCTTGTGTTTGAATCTGATTTTCTGGTTTGCTAATTATGTGACCCTTGGTCAAATTAACCTCTGCATTTCTCTTTTACAGCTGTTGAAATGGTATCCACCCAGTAAGATTGCAGGGATCACATTAGATGATGCATTGAGATTGCTTGGCATGGTGTGTGGCGTTATGTAATCACTCAGAAACCAGTGGCTATTTCATTTCCTCCCCTTACTGCACTGCCATATCCCAGCTGCTGACCCTCCAGCCGGAACACTCACTGCCTTCCTCTTCCTTTTTAATTTTTTGTCCTTCCAAACGTTAGATCAGTCTCCACTTGTACTAGTTCTAGTGAACAAACATGGACCCAACCCCTGTAAATTTATAGTGAAGTTGAAAAGTCAACAGTAACTGTTGTACAAGCCATGCAATAGCAAGTTTGGGGAAAGGGAGTGTTTTCGATCTGATTGGGAGAAACTACGGGGAAAAGAATCTACTTTGAACTAGGGCTTGAAAAACGGGTCTCAGTCGTCAAGTCTCTTCTGGGTGTTTAACCTTTTTCACCAAAACTTTCCATGTCATATCTTGTATAACTTAGTAGTCCAGGTATGGTGGTGCCAGTTTAACCTTCTTGTTAATTGTTTCTAATCTGGGGATATTATAAAGAATGTTTCCATTTGGGGAAATTTTTGGGGAAATTCAAATATTTTGAATTTGGGATATTTCTTTGGAATTCCAAGAAGTGGATTGTATAGTGAAAACATTCATTTTTCTTCTTTTTTTTTTGGAAAATATTCAAGCATATCCTGAAAAAAATACTGTGTATACATGTATTCCTACCACCTAGATTCAACAATTAACATTTTACCATATTTTTTATGTAAATGTGTAGGTGTGAACACTTAGGCTGAATAGTGAGTTGCAGACATATTTCACCCCTAAAAGTTACAGCATGCATCTGTCAGGACACTTTCCAAAGTAGTCACAATACCATTATAGCATCTAAAGACATTTCTCAATGCTTAATGTTCAGTCCATATTCAAATTTCTGTAGCTGCCTTCAAACTTACCTTTTTGAACATGGCTTCAGCTGTTTCATGCATTACATTTAGTGATTATGTCTCTTTAGTCTTGAGAACAATCCTTCCTTCACCCCCCCCCCCATTTTTTTTTTTTTTTTTTTTTTTGAGACAGGCTGTCACCCAGGCTGGAGTGCAGTGGCACAATCATAGCTCACTCTAGCACTCAGTCGATCCTCCCACCTCCACCTCCTGAGTAGTGGGGACTACAGGCACATGCCATCACGCCCAGCTAATTTTTGTGTTTTTTATAGAGAGACTGTTTCACCATGTTGTCCAGGTTGGTCTTGAACTCCTGGGGTCAAGTGATCTACCCTGCCTAGGCCTCCCAAAATGCTGGGATTACAGGTGTGAGCCACCACGCCCAGCCACCCCCACCTTTGTAATGTCCCCCATCCTCGATTTGTCTGGTTCCCCCAAATGTTCATTAATTCATTCATCTCCTATATTTTCTATAAACTGCAAGTTCAGTCTAGGGGTCTGATTATATTTAGCAAGAATCCTTCACAGGTGATGCTGTGGGCTTCATACTGGATCACATCAGGAGGTAACTAAAATGGTTTTTATGTGTGATAATAAATTTGAGTCTTTGGTTAAGATATGATCACCAGAACTCTCCTTTAAAAATATGATCTTTTCCCTATCCCCACAACCTTTCACTTAAGTGATTTTATTATAGCACGCATTGATGATCCTTGCTAAAAAGATTACTTCATTGGGAGTTAAAGAATGGGAAGAGTATATTTTACAGGCTCTTGTTATTGTCAGATAACCCATAGAAAACTTTTATCGGCCGGGCACGGTGTCTCACGCCTGTAATCACAGCACTTTGGGAGGCTGAGGCGGGCGGATCACGAGGTCAGGAGATTGAGACCATCCTGGCTAACATGGCGAAACCCCATCTCTACTAAAGATACAAAAAAATTAGCCGGGTGTGGTGGTGGGTGCCTGTAGTCCCAGCTACTCGGGAGGCTGAGGCAGGAGAATGGCGTGAACCCGGGAGGCAGAGCTTGCAGTGAGCCGAGATCGCGCCACTGCACTCCAGCCTGGGTGACAGAGTGAGACTCCATCTCAAAAAAAAAAAAAAAGCTTTATCACATTTTCAGAGTATCTATTTTCCTAATCCTTTATCTAACCTGGGTATTATGTTGGAAAAGGGGAAAGGGAAAAGTCACCGAACTTGATAGGTGGCAAATGGTGTCCCTGGTGTGTTTTATTCCATGATAGAGTATTTTTCCCTCACATTAAGCTGCCATTTGCAGTGCATGGGTTATGTGACTAGTATTCTAGACCCAGTTCAAATGCCCATCTTGGTAGATGGGGGGAAACCTGTTTTCACCAGTTATATAGATTGAGTTCACCACTCGGAAGGGTTCTGCTAATAAGGAAGGGGATGCTGAGCAGTAAAGAAAAGAAAGATGATCCACCAGGCTGAAAAATGCATCTTTTTCCTTTTGATTTATGTATTTAGAGGATATTAACCTTTTGTTAAGTATTTCTCTCCAAATTAAGTTTTTTATTTGTATTATGCTGGGCTTTAAAAAAAAAATTTAAGTCGGCAGTGTCCTTGCCGACTTTTGATGTCTCCATAAGGTGCATACAGACTATTTCCCAGATGCTGTACAAGGCAGTTTTACTATCACTGAATACTGGCAACTACTCTGTGAGGTTAAAGTGGTAGTCTCCCTTTGTGTTATTGTATTCGCAAGTATCTAGGCACTTTTGGAGCCTGCATTATTTGAATAGGTACTGGCTCACTATTTGCCAGGGTTGTCAGGAATGTAAATGGTCACAATCCAGGCTACTTTTAAGTAAGTCATCTAGGTGGTGCTTAGAACCCTCAAATCCATTCCAAATAACTTTGAAGCCCCATGTGTCTTTACCAGAATATAATCGGAGGTTTATCTGCTGTTACTTTGGTAGTGATTAGATAATTGTACTGTCTAGTCTGTTTTGTCTGAGGAACAGGACTCTTTCAGCGTTTGTGGTTTTCCAGTAGACCACACTCAGCTGAAAGCAAGACTGTACTGAGACACCAAGGCTCTGATAATAAGGGACTTTGCCCTTCCAACAGACTGAGGGCAGGCCTTGAAATGCTCTTTGAACACACAATTCTATTTTAGCTTTAAAAAGACCATGTGCCTCCCCTGGATAAGTGCTTTAAATCACCCTTCTCTATTATGGAGGCCCAGTCCTAACATCTCATTTACCTTATTTCATGTGTAGGAGGAAGAAACAATTACAGGTTCTGATATCTTCACTGCTAACTATTCCTATAAATTATCCTCTAAGAAACACTACCAACCCCTTCTCAAAAAAGGTGCATGAGCACATATTTTCTTAGGAATACTCACACTACTGGATGTGGAAAACCAGTCGTGCTCAACTGAATGAACTACAGAAAAATGCCTTTAGTTTTCCATCTTTGAACTACAATCTTTGAAGAAACTCCTTGTGCAGGTAAAACTTGGTACCCAGGACTGCAACTGAGGAATTCACAATCTCAAGGGAAGAAGCAAGTGATCCTGGTAGAGTGGTTTTAAAGAGCTTCCCAAGCTTACATATACACGAGAATGTAATTTTTCCATCCTATTTTTAAGCTGATTTACAAATAAATAGTAAAACAAATTACAGTTAGCCTTCCATATCCATGGGTGCTGCATTGGTGGATTCAACGGAGATAGAAAATATTCAGGGTGAAAAATTCCCACGAAGTTCTAAAAGACAAAACGAATTTGCCATGTGCCAAGTACTGTGTTGCATCCACGCGAATGAAGTGATGTGTAGTTATTGTATTGGGTATTGAAAGTAATGTAGAGATGATTTATAGTATATGGGAGGATGTGCAGAGGTTATATGCAAATATTGTGCCATTTTACAAAGGGACTTAAGCATCCATGGATTTTGGTATTTGTGGGGATCCTGGAACCAACCCCACACTTATACCAAGGGACAACTATATAGAGGCATACAGAGCAAAAAGTGAAAGGGCAAGTGTACTTCCTCCCCAGATTCTACGGCCATTAAGTTCGTGCGTATCTATCTTTCTACAACTTTTCTGTGCATTGTTTTTTACACTGTGTATCAGTCCTTTTTCAATGTCCAGCATATTTTGGCTACAAAGTACCATGTAATAAGATATGCCACCATTTATTTAAACATTTTCCCATTATGGGCACAAGTCACTCCTCCCCACAATATTCTGTGGTTACAACAATGTACTGAAGGAATCGTAGTACACAACATCTTTGTACATTCTTACAAGTATTCTATAGGATAAATTCCTGGAAGGGAAATGTCTGGGTCAAAGCATAAGCTAAATTTTAAATTTTTGATGTTACAGGCCGGGTGTGGTGGCTCACACATGTAATCCCAGCACTTTGGGAGGCTGAGGCAGGTGGATCACAAGGTCAAGAGATCAAGACCATCCTGGCCAACATGGTGAAACCCTGTCTCTACTAAAAATACAAAAAAAAAAAAAAAAAAAAAAAATTAGCTGGGCGTGGTGGCACGCACCTGTCCTCCCAGCTACTTGGGAGGCTGAGGCAGAAGAATCACTTGAACCAAGGAGGTGGAGGTTGCAGTGAGCCGAGATTGCGTCATTGCACTCCAGCCTGGCGACAGAGCCAAGACTGTCTCAAAAAAACAAATTTGATGTTACCAAACTACCTTCCCCACCAACTGCAGATGATCTTACATTTTTGCCAGTCGTGAGTGCAGTGCAAAAAACAAATCTTACAGTACTTTAATTGCATTTATCTGACAAATGAAGTGAACCATTTTATCACAAGTCCATTGGTCATTTGTGTGACTTTATGGATTGCCTATTCCTGTACTTAGTTCATTTTCTGAGATTGTCTTTTGCCTACTAGTTTGTAGAGTAAGAAGGTTGTACAAGGTTGATTGCCTCCAGTCAACTGCATGACTCTTCCTGAGTTTGCTCCACTGCCTACACCTCAGTAGGTATCACCTGTGAGCTGCTTACAACAGTTCCCACCTTTACCTTTCTTCTTACAAATGCTACAGGAAAAAATGATCAATCCTTGAGTGAGACTTTATGTGTGTCACCAACTCAGGATCTTTGGCATTTGAAGCTCCACTAATATCTTTTTACTACTTGTCCAAGCAAATGATATTTATTCTGGATAAAGTGGAAGCTGTTTAACATTGGCAGTTTTGAAACCCACTGAATGAATATGAATTTCATCATGGATTGTCTTTATGGCCTAGAGAGATCAAATCTAAAATTGTTTGCCAAATGTCAGTCCTGAACTTAACTATAGTCCTATTAACCTGATATTTGCTTATCTTGAATGAAGGTTAAAAAGAGGAGACTGGTTTCTTGTCCTTGTGAAATTTACTCACATCCAATCAATAGTTTCAGTGATTCCTTTGTGTAAAATTACATGCTTCAGTATGTGTGTAGGCATTAAAGCATAGGTTAGGGTGCCCAGCTCCTGGATGACATGTCTCTACCCAAGTTACAGGTAACTTGAGACCTGGTGTTTTTCCATTCAACTAGCCATTGTCTCTGCTTTCAGCCATTCCTCTTAACACAGATGTCACTATTCTAAAACTAGCACCCTGTGGACCCACTGTTCAGATTATTTCAAGCTTGAGAGCAGAGCATAAGCCAGTTTATCTGACAGGTGGAGGACAGCACTCCTCTTGTACCTATGTATTTGTCTGGAATTCCCCACAGCAAAACAGAGTCAACCAGCATTTTCCCCTTTCCTACATCCATGATACATTCCCGTCATTATAGCACAACACTGACCTAAAAAAGTAAAATTGTGGAGAAGGGGAAAGAAGTATATATGAAGCCACATGCCCTACGTACCTTCCATTGCTTGTACTTTGAAACCATCTTTCTTTCAAATTAGTCATTATGCTTTACAGATGACACGTGAGCCCAAGATAAGTACAGTCATCCCTTGGTATCCATGGGGGATTGGATCCTGGATTTTCCCCCATACCAAAATCCAAGGATGCTGAAGTCCCTGATATAAAATGGTGAAGTATTTTCATATAATCTACACACATCCTCCCCTATACTTTAAATCATCTCTAGATTACTTATAATTCCTAATAAAATGTAAATGCTATGTAAATAGTTGTTACATTGTTTAGGGAATGACAGTATGAAAGTCTGTGCCTGTTCAGAACGGATGCAACACCATCCCTTTCGCCACCCCCATGCCCTCAATTATTTGCAATTCACAGTGGGTTGAATCCATAGATGCAGAACCCAACAACAGAGGGACAACTGTAATCTGTCCATGGTTAGGGAGCCAGTAAAAGGTGAAGCTCAGATGATACAGATTTGTCTGACTTCAAGTTACGAAGGGGGTTTTGCTTGTGAGAATAAACTAGTGAAAATGTGGTTTTATAAGTTGCTTTAATGTAATCTGCAGCCAGTCTTAAACACTGTTACCATTTAACCACTTTTGGATTGTACTATAGACAATTAGACAGGTAATAAGACTGGACTGTTAATAGGCCTTAGAGGCTTTATAAACTGGAGCTTGAGAAAGAAGTCCTAAAAATCTGCAGTGATTAGCAACTCTTCTAATGCATCATTAGAAGCACATGGGGGATCACCCCATCCAATGCTGCTTTCCATGTTGCCCTGTGGATTTTCTCCATTTACCAGCACTAGTCAAGACACTAGTGCACCTCTAGTGACAGCTAAAATTGATAGTTTTTCTTTCCTTATTTGCATGAAGACATGTATTAATAAATAAAAGTTTAATAAAACACAAGTAAATGTTAGTGTAACACACATTTCAAGAAATGAGCATAAAGTAAATGTTTTTAAGTCATGAATAATGTAAACTAAGCTTTAATGGGTAAAATCCCAGGAAATAAGAAATAGTAACTGAAACAGGCAAGAGTATAAATTCCCCCAGGGTCCTCCAAGTTTGAGAGTATAGGGGCAGAATAAAACTTTAATTCTGAAGCTAGTGACCCTGAAGTTTGAATGCCTTGGCCCCCTCACCTGCCTTACACTGTCCAGGCAAAACAGCCAACCAGAAATAAAAAATATGGCACTGAATTACCATCCTTTACCTTGCACAAGTTACATGAATGTCTGGTACTATATTTCCTCATCTGTAAGAAAAAAGGAAGGAGTTGAAATATGATATCCTGAAGTGTATGAGATAAAGATACTGGTAATCAAATATTTCCCTGTTAAAGATGGTGTATTAAAATCTAAAAAGATACACAGAACTTATTAAAAAGACCACTGTCCTTTAAAATCATCTTGGTGGTTTCTTCACATGTATTACCACAGTTCAAAACAAATTTACAACAAAATTATTTAAAACTGCCTTCAGGGCCCAGCATAGTGGCTCACGCCTGTAATCCCAGCACTTCGGGAGGCCGAGGTGGGCGGATCACGAGGTCAGAGGTTTGAGACCAGCCTGGCCAACATGGTGAGACCCTGTCTCTACTAAAAATACAAAAATTAGCCAGATGTGGTGGCACACACCTGTAGTCCCAGCTACTCAGGAGGCTGAGGCAAGAGAATCGCTTGAACCCGGGAAGCGAAGGTTGCAGTGAGCCTAGACTGCGCCACTGTACTCCAGCCTGGGCGACAGAGCAAGGCTCTGTCTCAAAAACAACAATAACAACAACAAAAAAAACTGTCTTCAGAACTATGTGCAAGCATAGGTACATCCTATTTATTTTATGGTTGCTTTTCTACAAAGAGTTAAACAATACTATCCACATAAATAACTCATCAGACTTGGCTCCAAAACACAATTGCAAAAGACAGAGGATAAAAATGTGTCCCTATTAGATAATTTCAGTATCTACCTAAGTTGTTTTCTTTGGGCAATGATGGCAGCACCATTGGAGTAAGTTTAAAACCTCCATGTTAATTCTTTAAAAACCAGTATTCAGCCAGGCGCGGTGGCTCACACCTATAATCCCAGCACTTTGGGAGGCCGAGGCTGGAAGATCACCTGAGGTCAGGAGTTTGAGACCAGCCTGACCAACATGAAGAAACCCCCGTCTCTACTAAAAATACAAAATTAGCCAGGTGTGGTGGCGCATGCCTGTAGTCCCAGCTACTCGGGAGGCTAAGGCAGGAGAATTGCTTGAACCCAGGAGGCAGAGATTGCAGTGAGCCAAGATCGTGCCATTGCACTCCAGCCTGGGCAACAAGAGCAAAACTCCGTCTCAAACAAACAAAAAAACCCAGTATTCATAGTGTCAACATTTTATAGGTTCTGATACATGTTTAAAAATTATCTTAATCTCCTTCCTCATATCCAAAGCTTACCCCCTAGACTTGGCTAAATGTTCTCTTATCCTAATCTTTATACTCCCTTATCCACCTCTAACTGATAAGTGGAGTGGACCATACTTACTAAGGAGTGGAATCACTGTGTACCCAATGTCACATACAAAAATGCCCCCTCCTTCCCCTTACCTCAAATTGAGTAAAGCAGTAGGTCAACCATAGGCAGTCCCATCCATCAGGCTCTGCTATTCTGTGTTCAGGCGTAAAATACACACATGTATACATGTGATTTCATAGACATGTCAGGACAATAAAATGCATTGTTGGGTAATTTGGAAATCTAAAGCCTAAGAGCTCAGGGAAATTTCACATATATACATTCTCTCCACTTTCTAAAAAATAAATGACATCACCTGTGTGAGTGATAGCTTTAAAGCAAAAACTTCTTATGTTAAATCATTAAATGTTTGCTTCTACTACCCTAATTTCCTGAAGCCACATCTTTTTTTACTTACCAAATACACATGCCTTAAATAAGTAAATCCCTGGCCAGGTTCCTTACTTAGCTCAAAGTTTTAACTTTTTTTTTTTTTTTTTAAACATGCATAGTGTTCTGTCCTTTCAGCAGAGCCCTAGGAGCAGCCGAGACCTAGTCTCCTAAATTTTTACAACTCTCCATAGGCATATTTACAAGGTGTTACCTGAAAATACCAACAAGCCACCAGACACATTTGTGTCCAATTCATTAAAAAGAATTTATATTCATTCCACTAGTAAAAATGATTTATTCCTCTGGCTCTGATTTGAAAGGATGTAATAGGTTTGAGTAAACAATAACCATCTCTGGCCTTTTTTCCCCTTCTTTGTAGGCGTTAGCCACTCTACAGGTCTAAACCCTTGTTATAGCAAAAGATCTTAGTGCATAAAGTGGATAAGATCTAAAGCACACAAATTTAGTTTTGACTATAATGTACCTCTTGGGATTATGTAAAAGCCACAGCCAACCAGCTCAGCTCCTGGGTATTATTAATAGTAGTAATGAAGTAAAACATTTTGAAACTGGACTCAAATTGTGTTCAGTGTGCTAAACCAGGGATGCTGTGAAATGAATGTAAATTTTAACAAGCCTGTTCTGAGCTTTAGACTTCTCATTAGTGCCCCTTTCCCAAGTGTAATGTGCAGAATGAGCCACTAGAGGGCAATCATTTTCTTTAGGAAAAAGATGCTGTTTGAAAGCACTGTACATTCATTTAACCACAATGACACCATGTCTCACA
This sequence comes from Homo sapiens, assembly GCF_000001405.40. Taxonomy (NCBI): domain Eukaryota; kingdom Metazoa; phylum Chordata; class Mammalia; order Primates; family Hominidae; genus Homo; species Homo sapiens. The sequence continues at coordinate 87,151,061 of NC_000004.12, forward strand.
CCCAGGAGAATGGATATAATCAAAGGAAAAGGCAATATCAAGTGTTGGAGGGGACAAGGAGCAACTGGAAATCTCATATGTTGCTGATGGAAACATATGGTACTGCCACTTGGATAACAGTTTGCAGTTTCTTAAAAAGTTAAAATCATGTTACAATAAAACCCAGCAATTCCACGTATATGAAACTACCCAAGATAAATGAAAGCATATGGTCAATTAAGATATGTTCATGAACATTCATGGCATCACACATAATAGACAAAAATTGGAAACAATCCAAACAACCATTATTGGTGAATGAATAAACAAAATGTGATATATGCATATGAGGGAATACTATTCAGCTATAAAAAATTCTACACTATGGATGAAGTGAACCTCAAAAATATTATGCTAAGTGAGAGAAGCCAGATGCAAAAGATTAAATATAGTGTGTGATTCAATTTATATGAAATACCCAGAAAAGACAAATTTATAGACAGAAAGCAGATCAGTGGCTACCTAGGGTGAAGAGAAAGGAGGGGAGGAGTGGGGACTGACTGCAGACAGGCTCATGAGAATTTCAGGGGGATGATGAAAGTGTTCCAAATCTGGATTATGATGAGGCTGGCACAATGCTACAGGTTTACTGAATCACCATGTACACTTACAGTGGGTGAATTTAATATAAATCATACTTCAATAAAGCTAACAAAAAACACACTGATTTAGCACTGCATTAGAATAGGTACTGGGAAATGAAACAAGTGAAAGAAAGAAAACTAGAGCACTGTGTATTAGAATGTAATACAAATAGCCACTATGTCATTCGGTCCTGAGCTCTGGCTTTTCAGACAGGAAAAAAGCTCACTGTTTGCAAACAGACTAGGGAAATTTAGGAATTTATGATCAAGTAAGAATTTTATTACTTTTGGCCAAAGGCCATTACATTTGTTACATTAAACAGAAACATTTGTTTAAAAAGGAAGGTTGTAAAGTTTCAAGCAGAATGCAATTATTTTCTGACTCTCCATCAGTACTTTGGAGTCATATTTATGAAGGGATTTAAAACACATCAATGTGCTAAGGGTCTGATGTTATATAAAATAACTAATAACTTGAGATATTCAGGGCAAAGAGAGACACTTGAAGTGACAGGCATATCCATACCAAGTAATTTTACATTTCCTGAATTATCCTTTTATAAACTAGTTTAAATTTACTTAAGAAACTTCAGGTATAATAATATATGAGATCAAAAGGCTCGTTCTGGCCTGTAATCCCAGCACTTTGGAAGGCTGAGGCAGGAGGATTGCTTGAGCCCAGCAGTTCATACCAGCCTGGGCAACTTAGCAAGACCTGTCTCTACAAAAATATCAAAATTAGCCGGGCATAGTGGTGCGGGCCTGTAGTGCCTACTACTCAGTAGACAGAGGTGGGAGAACCACTTGAGCCCGGGAGGTCAAGGCTGCAGTGAGTCATGTTCACGTCATTGCACTCCAACCTGGGCAGCAAAGCAAGACCCTGTCTCAAAAAAAAGAAAGCTCTGTTAAGGTCTATAAGCAGCAGTCTCCAACTTTTTTGGCACCAGGGACCAGTTTTGCAGAAGACAATTTTGCCACGGACAGGGCAGGGGTGGGGACAGGTGGTTTGGAGATGAAACTATTCCACCTCAGCTCATCAGGCATTAGATTCTCATAAGGAGATTGCAACCTAGATCCCTCACATGCGCAGTTCACAATAAAGTTTGCTCCCCTATGAGAATCCAATGCTGTCATTGGTCTGACAGGAGGCGGAGCTCAGGCAGTAATGCTCACTGGCCTGCCGCTCACCTCCTGCTGTGCAGCTCCGTTCCCAACAGCCCACGGACCAGTATTGATTTGAGGCCCGCGGACGGGGGCCCCCTGGTCTATGGAACGTCTTCAACACATAAATTTCAGAGGAGGCTAGTGGTACACAAGAGAAAAATTAGTGAATATTAAGACAAAACTATGTCTTTTCTTTGGCTTCTAGAATGGTAGTGGTTTATGGGGTTATAAAAGACAAGATCATCCAAAGGGCTCTCCCATTACTATTAGTTCCTAGTTCAATTATAAACAATATACTTTTAAAAATGCTTTACTGGGCTCTCAAGAAAGCAGGGACACTGAAAGGCCAATATAAGAGATGGAACCTGAGCAGGAGTGGTAACTAAACAGGAAAACCAAAGTTGCCCTGAGGACAAATGCCATTATCAGCGCTGGGACTGAGAGACCAAGTTCTGGACCCATAGCAAAAGGAGGAGCCAAGAAGAAAGCTAAAATGCCCCAGGTCAGTTTTGTTCCCTAGCCTAGAGACACAAATGTGAAACCTCTCTGAAGGAGCACATTCCCAATTAAAGAACCTCTGGATTCTCAACAGGTTCTACTAAATATATATTTACAAATAAAAATCACCAAACACAGGAAGAATGACATACCATAAGGAAAAGTTCAACAGAGACAATAAACAGATTTAGACCCTCAAGGGACTTCAGATATTGGAATTACTGGCTACAGGATATAAAGATAACTATGTATGAAATGCCCAGAGAAATAAAAAAGATAGAAACCAAAGAAACAGAGGAAGTCTAGCCAGAGCAATTAGGCAAGAGAAATAAATAAAAGGCTTCCAAATTGTCGCTCCCCACTGAGAATATAATCTTACATCTAGAAAAGCCTCGACTCTGCCAAAAAAATTGTTAGATTTGGTAAATGAATTCAGTAAAGTTGCAGGACACAAAACTAATATACAAAAATCAGTAGTATTTCTATACGCCAACAATGAACTAGTGGAAAAAGAAATCAAGAAAGCAATCCTATTTACAATAGCTCCCCATAAAAATAAAATACATAGGAATAAATTTAACTGAGGAGGTGAAAGATGTCCATAGCAAAACTATAAAACACTGATGAAAGAAACCGAAGAAGTCATAAATAAATGGAAAGACATTCCATGTTTCTAAATCAGAAAAATTACTATTGTGAAAATGACCATAATTCCAAAAGCAATCTATAAATTCAGTGCAATCCCTATCAAAATACCAGTGTCAGTCTTCACAGAAATAGAAAAAAAAAAATCTTAAAACACACATGAAAGTACAAAAGACCCTGAATAGTCAAAGCATTCCTGAGCAAAAAGAGTAATGCTGGAGGTATCCATACTACCTGACTTCAAAAGATACTATAAAACTATAGAAACCCCAATAGCATGGTACTGGCATAATAACAGACACACAGACCAATGGAACGGTAAAGAGAACCCAGAAATAAATTCACATATTTACAGTCAACTGATTTTCAACAAAGTGCCAAGAACATTCAGTAAGGAAAGGACAGTCTCTTCAATAAATAGTGCTGGGAAAACTGGATATCCATATGCAGAAGAATGAAATTAAACCCCTATCTCTTACCATATACAAAAAGCAAATCAAAATGGAGTAAAGACTTAAATGTACGACTTGAAACTATGAAACTACTAAAAGAAAACATTGGGGAAACACTTCAGGACGCTGTTTTGGTCAAAGATTTTTTGTGTAGGACTTCAAAAGCACCAGAAACAAAAACAAAAATAGACAAATGGAATTACATCAAGCTAAAAAGCTTCTGCACAGCAAAGGAAACAATCAATTGAATGAGGAGACAACACACAGAATGGGAGAAAATAATGTACAATCTCTCCATCTGACAAGGGATGAATATCCAGAATACACAAGGAATTCAATTCAATAGCAAAACAAAACAAATAATCTCAGGTCTTACGGGACAATACAGAAAAAAAAAACACAAATAATCCACTTTAAAAATGGGCAAATGATCTGAATAGACATTTCTCGAAAGACACACAAATTGCCAGCAGGTATATGAAAAAATGCTCTACATCACCAATCATCAGAGAAATATAAATCAAAACCACAACAATATCTTACCCCAGTCAGAATGGCTATTAAGATTAAAAATAACAGATATTGGCAAGGATGCAGAGAAAAAGAAACTCTTATATATTGTTGGTGGGAATGTAAACTAGTACAGTCACTATGGAGATTTCTCAAAAACTAAAACCAGAATTACCATTCGATCAAGCAATCTCATTACTAGGTATCTACCCAAAGGAAAAGAAATCAATACATCAGAGGGATACCTGCACTTGCATGTTTATTGCAGCACTATTCACGATAGCAAAGATATGAAATCAACCTAAGTGTTCACCAGTGCATGAATGGATAAAGAAAACGTGGCATATGCACACAATGGAACGCTATTCAGCCATAAGAAAAAGAATGAAATCATGCCATTTGCAGCAACATGGATGGACTGGAAGTCACTATGTTAGGTGAAATAAGCCAGGCACAAAAGACAAATATCACATGTTCTTACTTACATGTGGGAGCTAAAAAATTTGATCACATGGAGGTAGACAGTGGAAAGATAATAGAGGCTGGGAAGGGTGAGGGCAGGGGACGGGGGAGGATGAAGACAAGTAGGTTAAAGAGTACAAACATATAGTTAGATATAATTAAATTCAATGTTTGATAGCAGAGTAGGGTGACTACAGTTAACAAAATCATAGCTGGGTGATGGACACTCTAAATACTCTGACTTGATCACGATACATTATATACATGCAACAAAATTTTACATGCAACCTATCAATATGTACAAATTTTTCTAAAAAGCTCAGCAAACTGGAACTTCCTTGCTCTGACAGAGTAGCAAAACCAAGGAAGATTCAATATTGTAGCACTGTCAATACTCCCTAATTAATCTTTAAATGTGATTCTAGTTGAAAGAAAGAGAAAGAGAGATAGGGAGAGAAAGGAAGCTGGGCACAGCGGCTCAATACCTATAATCCCAGCACTTTGTGAGGCTGAAGCCAGGAGGATCGCTTGAGGCCAGGAGTTCAAGACCAGCTGTGCAACATGGCGAGGCCCTGTCTCTACAAAAAATTTAAAAATTAGCTGGGCCTAATGGTGTGCACCTGTGGTCTCAGCTACTTGGGAGGCTGAGGTGGGAGGATCGCTTGAGCCCAGGAGTTTGAGACTACAGTGAGCCATGTTTGTACCACTGCACTCTAGCCTGGGTGACAGAGTGAAACACTGTCTCAAAAAAAAAAAGGGGGGGGGGACAGAAAAAGAAATTTCCTACAGCTATTTGCTTTTTATCCCCAAGGAATTTTACAAACTGATTCTCATACTGAATTTAAAAAGCAGGCCAGGCATGGTGGCTCATACCTGTAATCCCAGCACTTTGGGAGGCTGAAGCGAGAGAATTGCTTGAGCCCAGGAGTTCAAGACGAGCCTGGACAACACAGAGAGGTGGGGTGGAAGAGTGGAGGGAGGGGAGGCAGGTGGGGGTCGTGGGGGTGGTGGATCACCTGAGCCCAGGGAGGCTGAGGCTACAATGAGCCATGATCATACCACTGCACTCCAGCCTGGGCGACAGAGCAAGACCCTGTCTCAGAACAACAACAACAAAAAACAAAACCAGAAGGCCAAGAACATTCCTTAAGAAAAATACAAAGGTAAGAGACTACCCTTGTCAGGTATCAAGACATATAATCAAGTTATAACAATTAAATAATGTGCTACTTGGCCCTTGCTTAGGCAAACTGACCAATGGAACAGAACAGGAAGTCCCCAAATAAACATTTGGCTACAATGGCAAATTTCCATGTAAGTAAAGCCTCTGAGGAAAGGATGCATTAGTCAATAAACGGCGCAGGGAAAACTGATTTTCTACATAGTAAAAAAATAAAATTTTAAATCTATATCACACATACACAAATCAATTCCAGGTAGGCTAAAAACTTAACTGAGACACTTTTTTGATTTTCAGAAGCAACATTGAGCAACTATGACCCTGGGATAGGACAAATTTCTTAAAACATAAAAATAACTCACGTTTGAAAATATTAAATTTTGTTTACAAAAAAACCCAAAGTGAAAAGCTACAAACTGGATGAAGATATGTGCAAGAACAACAAAAAAACAACAAAAATATCAATATCCTAAATACAAAAAACTCTTAAATAAGAGCAAAAACAGAAAAATAAAAGACATCAAGACATATTTCACAGAACAGGAATGACTAATAAACATGAAAATGTTTTTAACTTATTAATCAGAAAAATGCATGTTTTCTTTTATAGTGAAGTGAGTGCTGTCACATTCATAAGGAAAATGCAATTTAAAGCCACAATAAAATACCATTTTACACCTAACAGATTGGAAAGAATTGGGTCTTATGATAGCAAGTAAATAAGAAACCATACTGTAAAGCGGTGCAACCAGTTTGGAAAACAATTTGGCATTATCTTGTAAAACTGTTAAAAAGCTGATCAGGCACATGCCTTACAAACCACCAACTTTGAATCTAGGTTTATATGCTAAAGAAACTCTTGGACATGAGCACCAAAAAATTGGATATGAATGTTCGTTTCAGCATTGTTTGTAAAAGCAAAAAAAAAAAAAAAAAGAAAAACTAGACCCAAGAAAATAAATTGTAAAAATAAACCTGTTGAATAAAAACAACAAGTTACATAAGACTACATAAAGAATACTTTTTTGTTGTTTGTTTTTGAGATGGAGTCTTGCTCTGTTGCCCAGGCTGGAGTGCAATGGCGCGATCTCAGCTCACTGCAACCTCCACCTCCCGGGTTCAAGCGATTCTCCTGCCTCAGCCTCCCGAGTAGCTGGGACTACAGATGCATGCCACCATGCCTGGCTAATTTTTGTATTTTTAGTAGAGACGGGGTTTCACTATGTTGGCCAGGCTGGTCTCAAACTCCTGACCTCGTGATCGGCCCACCTCGGCCTCCCAAAGTACTGGGATTACAGGCGTGAGCCACTGCGCCCCGCCAGGATGATACTATTTTTTATAAAGTTCACAAAAATAAACGATATATAGCCATGGGACATATGTATGAAAGCAAAAGGGAGGCCAGGTGCGGTGGCTCACACCTGTAATCCCAGAACTTTGGTAGGCCGAGGTGGGCAGATCACAAGGTAAGGAGATCGAGACCATCCTGGCTAACAAAAATACAAAAAATTAGCCGGGCATGGTGGCAGGTGCCTGTAGTCCCAGCTACTTGGGAGGCTGAGGCAGGAGAATGGCGTGAACCCGGGGGGTGGAGCTTGCAGTGAGCCGAGATCACGCCACTGCACTCCAGCCTGGGAGACAGAGCAAGACTCCATCTCAAAAAAAAACCAAAAGGGAAAAAAAAAAAAAAAAGAAATGATAGATTCAAGGAGGTGGTTACCCCTAAAGAGTAGGCTGGGGATTGGAATTGAGAAGGAACACAAAGGTAGGGTTAATACTACCAGAAAGGCTCCAGTTCTTAGTGGGTGGCTTCATAGGTATTTTATTATTATGTCTTCATCTTGCATATATTTTTATGTATGCATCAAATACTACCTATAGAAATGTAGTGACCAGGCCAGGCATGGTGGCTCACGCCTGTAATCCCAGCACTTTAGGAGGCCGAGATGGGCGGATCATTTGAGGTTAGGAGTTCAAGACTAGCCTGGCCAACATGGTGAAACCCCATCTCTACTAAAAATACAAAAATTAGCCAGGTGTGGTGGCATACACCTGTAATCCCAGCAACTCAGGAGGCTGAGGCAAGAAAATCACTTGAACCCAGGAGGCGGAGGTTGCAGTGAGCCAAGATCACACCATTGCACTCCAGCCTGGGCGATAGAGTGAGACTCTGTCTCAAAAAATAAAATAAAATAAAATAAAATAAAAAGAGACTGAGGCAGAAGAATCACTTGAACCCAGGAGGAGGAGGTTGCAGTGAGCCGAGATCATGCTGCTGCCCTCCAGCCTGGGCAACAGAGTGAGACTCTATCTCAAAAAACAACAACAACAACAACAACAACAACAACAAAAGAGAAATGTAGTGACCAGAAATACTTTCATACTGCTAAGAAGAGACTACAAAAAAAGGAAATGATCTTTTCTTAATGTATGCATACTGTATTACCTAGTGAATGCAGAAGTATGTATAACTGATATAGGTGGAGCAGTTGAGTTTTTTAGTCACAAAGAATATTAGTCAATCACTAACTTAGTTGTGATCTTCAACTAGTTATTTAATGTCTTTGAATCTATTTTCTTTTTAACTTTTGAACCTTTTTTTTAACGGTGAAGTATCAAATTACTGTAAAGATGAGAAATGTTATTAAGTGACTGGTACAGGCGATACATTTTTTTAAATGATAGCTAATACTCCCCATAACTATTACTCATATCTAAGAAACCCCTTATATTCTACTGAACTTAGCCTCAAACCACTAAGATAATGGAAGAGTGACTTGTTAAAAACAACAAAAAACGCACCAGAATTTCTGCATTCAAATAAGGTTGCCTCTCAAAGAGACTATACACTTCTTTCACTGACCTTGCCATTGCTCAGGATTTTAGAAATATTTCATTCAAACTGTTTAGTGTTGAAAACATTTTTACCAGTAGATGAAAAACCTCACTTCTTTGAAAGTAGATTTTACCTATGAAAATAGACATGAAATATTTTCAATCATGTTTGATGAATAATCAAGTTAAGATTTTGGTCAAGATTAACATATGACTATGATGAGACTAATTCTTTTGAGTGACTTACAAATGATCTCTTCAGGCTATTTTCAAAGATGAGTTTCAAAAGAAGTTTTAGCAATGGCAACCTTAATTTTTTTAAAAAGCTACAACTTTGCAAGGTTTCTACTTGGAAGGACAACAGTCATCCTAATGCATAGTCTCATTTCTATATAGTACAAGTCTGCAATTACTGAAGAGACAACTGCTTAAGATCAGTGAAACTACTTACATCAGTTACCTTCAACCTTTAATTTTCATAAGGGAAAACGAAAAGCTTTCTAAAATTTTCAGTTAAACATAAAGATCCTTCATATAAGGAGAAAAATATAGCCAACCTACTCAATTTTGTATTTGAGGAATGGAGAATAAACAATTACACAGTTTTGACAGGATCCCATAACAGCAATCAAATAATGATGAGAAGCAGTTACACAGACCTTTTAGAGAGAAGTTTGTGCTAATAGAAATATGCAATGTATTTTAATTAAATAAATAGCACTGATGTGACCCCAACTTTTTGATATCCATAGTTGGTGATATATATGACCACTTATTACATTGATTTTCTGGAGTATTATAACACAAATTTATAAATGGTTTTAAGAAAATATTATAGAGAAGTTTTACTGACACTTGGAATTTTACATGAAGGGGAAAGAGACATAGCCAATGGCATCCCAGTAATAATTTCTTTACACATCTGATACGAGAAACCACAGAAACATTCTTAACTGATACAACATGAATTAGATTCTAAAGGCATTCTTTAAGACATAGAGAAAAAAGAAACAAAGAAAATTCTCAAGTTTACCATTTACAAGAATAGTTTATGCAATTTCAAGAAGTCCTTACCAAGGCATTCAACAGCACTGTAAGTTCAAAGTTCATTTGGGAATTAAAAGAATGAATAAAATACTCCTTAGAGGGAGTACAAAGTTTATTCAAACATTTTAGAAATAATCAATTAATTACATAAGTATATAGTGAAATCTGTCAAAAACAATGTCAAGTAACTTGTTTTTAAAGTGGCAACGCAATATAGTAAAGCAATGGCTTTAATGACTAAATGAAAGAATCACAAAGCACCTAGAAATATTTATTGAAGAAATAATAAACAAATTTTCATGATTTATTTTGTCCATTTGCAATTTCAGTATTTTAGCTCTATCTCATATCATTTTTTGGTAGGTGCTGTTAACATATGAGGTTAAAGTGGTAAGTCTCACAATAAAGTAGCCATCTTCTTTGAATATTTCATCTCTTCATTTCTATGAATATAATCATCTTTCAGCTGCATGATTCCTTCAGCCTGATTCTCATTTCATGTCTCAATAAACGTGTTTTTGCCTGATAAAGAGAACTGTGCACATATTGATTCTGCTTTTTTATCTTTTTTTTTTTTTTTTTTTTGAGATGGAGTTTCACTCTTGTTTCACCGCTGGAGTGCGATGGCTCAACCTCGGCTCATTGCAACCTCCACCTCCTGGGTTCAAGCAATTCTCCTGCCTCAGCCTCCTGAGTAGCTGGAATTACAGGTATGCGCCACCACGCCTGGCTAATTTTTGTACTTTTAGTAGAGACAGGGTTTCACCATGTTGGTCAGGCTGGTCTTGAACACCTGATCTCAGGTGGTCCACCCACCTCGGCCTCCCAAAGTGCTGGGATCACAGGCGTGAGCCACCATGCCTGGCCTATTTATCTTTTCATACTGCTGTCAGGTCCTTCAAGGCTATGCTTCTGATTGCCCACACACTTTACTTCTGAGTATTTCATATTTTACGGGTAGGTAGGGTACCAACTTAGTATGTTAGATAACCATTGTATAGTAAAAACCAGAAATGAAAATATAATAACCCTTATAACTCCTTACATATAAGAAAGACAGAAATACATCAAAGAAAAAACATTTTAAATAATCTCAGGAAACAATAACAAGATCCTCTCCCCGAAAATAAATATAACAAACATATTAGTAACCATAGCTAAACAAACACTGTAATATAAGAACTCCATTAGACATAAGAAATAGACATTGAAGCCAGGTTTTGACACTTATTCTCCACATCCAGCCAGTTGTCACCAGTCTAGTAAGTGCTACAGGGTTAACTGCCTCTGGACTGACTGAAATATGGTTGTACTTACACAAAAGAACACTGGTTCAGATCCAGCAATGACTTATGAACTTGCCCATAGGTAGAAAAAAATAGCTTACTGGATTTATATCTGCTTCATAAGAGACTTTTATCTGCCAGCCTGACCCCTCTTAAAACTTTTTTTTTTCTTTTTTGGTTTGATATACTCAATAGGCACTGGCTTTTTTTTGTGATGTGGCTTTTTTTGTGATGTGGCTTTCCACACTATTGTAGAAGTCCAGAATCCCATTTAATAAGATGCATGAGCTATTAGTCAATGAACTTTAGGGCTGGATGGATCAACGAAGTGTTTTTCACTGCCCCAGCTTCCTTATGAACCAGATTACTGACCAGCGGTGAACTACAATAAATTCGAAGACACAACTAACAAAAACTTAGGAAGGCCTGGAAGAGAGGTGCCAAACTGCACTGCAAATACAAAATAAAATATTTTCATGTTCTTGATAAATATTTATAAAAAAATATACATATAATGAATAGGCCATTTTATAATGCTAGTTAAAACTTTGAAGAGCTGTTAAATCTGTAGGTCCATCAATATCCTGGCTTCAAATCAATATGTAGAAATATTTTTAATTAAATTTCAATAAATACACCAGAGGGATTTAAATATGATAAAAACAGTAATTTCAATCTCTGTTTTTACCAACAATATGTTTAATTAGTTCGTGATGGGCTTGAACTAATCAATAAACTACAGTCTACAAAAAGGTTTTTGTAAAAATGCATTCATTTCTGATAATAAATAAATGCAGATTGATTCTGTACAGTCAGAAAAACCAGGATGGTGGCAAATAGCAAAATAGAGAGATGATAAATCTTGGATCCAAAATCAAATGATCAAAGAAGACAGTTAAAGATATTTTCAGACTGCCCACATTAGAGTCATGTAATCTGCATCATTCTTTCTCAAGGTCTCTCAATTGGGCACCAGAATAACATCAGATCTAAAACCTTGTTCAATATTTCCTCTGGTTCACCTTTTGATTATGTAACAAATACTTTTTGCAAAAGATGAAAAAATAAAACTGTAAAATCATTTGGATGGAGTTAGCCCAGCTAGGTCTTTTGGTGTCCTAGCAATTCAAACTGAAATTAAAGGCTTCTTATAGCCTATAAGCTTCTGAAAATGCAGCTAAGTGGCATTCAAAAAGACAGAACATTTTTTCTACTTCCGTAAATATAAAAGAAATTGAAAAATCACCACCTAGAAAAAAAAAGCTAGGCATAAATTCATCAGCACCAAGTAGAAATGATCTTCAAAAGGGGCAAGTCTCTTATGTATCCTTGTGTTAATGAATAGGTACTAATCTCTCCTCTAGGAAAAACCCACTGCCTGACGTTAACATCTTTAGGCAAAAGAAAAGGCAAAACTCAACAAATTACATTTTGATTCATCCAAATAGAGAGAGAGAGAGAGATTTCAAGATTTTTGGCACTACTTTAAGCATTTTTCAGGGTAGGTATGATTTTAAGTTCGACTATCTTCTTCCCTACTCCATTATTTGCAAAAGCAGGAAGTATCAAATTTAACTCTATTACTAATAATTCTTCAGGTATCATTCCAAAAGTTGTACTTAGTCACAATACAACAGTTAACATTTAAATAAGACTCTAGTTGCAGTAAAAAGTGTTGAAAGGTGGTCATATCAAAATCTTGGTTTTCTTTTGTACCTATCAGATATGACTAAATTGTTGGTGGCCAGAACTCAAATCACATACAGTCAACCACATTATTGGATCCATGACCTACATCTCGAATTTGGCTAGTTAAACAGGAACACACAGCTACTCCTGCTCCAGCTCTGCAGTGAGACACAGATCCAACAAGCTCCCACCTGAAAAGACGGAGAAGAAAAAATGTTACAAAGCATAATTTACTTTACTCAAAATACTAACCAAAGACAAAAATTCCCTATGTGAGACTGGTTTTGTAGGACAGCAAGCTTCCAGTGGGAGATAAGATATCCCAAAGCTTAGTATTAACTACGACTAGCAACATTTTAACACTCTGAAGTAATCTACTATTATACCAGAAGATAATATAAAGCACGGAGACAACATGTAAATTACCTATTCAGCACTGGATCAAACGCTTCTACTGTATTTAAGTATGCATTGCCATTATGACCACCAACTGCAAAGATTTTGCCCATCACTGTTGCGATTCCCACTCCACCTCTGGGAGTAGTAAGTGCTGCCACATAATCCCACTTGTTGCTTCGGGGGTCATACCGCTCAACTGAACTCAGAGGAGAATTATCATCAAAACCACCTATGTAAAGAAATATTTTAAAAACAGCATTACATTCCTTAGAAATTAACTACTAAATTTCAATTCAATGGCTTTTACAACCCAATCTTTTAAAATCATTTTAGAATGGTTTAGAGAAAATTTTTTTAAAAAATTCATCCCAATACCTGTCTACCACCACCAACAACTACCATTAGATGTTGTCTACAATTCCACGTTAGGTAAGTGACATTTTCCTCAATACTAGGATTAAAGATCTTGTAAGTAGGAAAAAAATGGAGTCCCTGTATCTAAGCAGATAATTCAGAGAAAAAGAAAAAAAAAACACAAACATTCATAAATTTGTCCTTAGCCGTCTAGAGACAAGCAAGACAGTACTGAGATTCCTTCTCTGTGTATTATATCTTAAACAGTAAGAAGGCATAAGAAAGGAATAAACTGAATCATGATTCATCCAGATAAAAGTTAAAGTTTTCCAATTGTTTCCCTTAATACTATAATCGCCATCATAATTACAGAAATGGTGGACTATGACTGAATTCTCACCAATTTTTGTCATAACAACATTTTCCTCCTACATATTCCAGAAGATAGCAGTCCTTTCTATAGCTCATTCTAGCAATGTACTTAATCTGTTCCTGAGGTTATAGAGACTGTTATTTCAACAGTGCTCCTTCCTTTAAAAACAAGTGTCTCTTTTTGAGCTCCAAGTCTAAATGAATATAATAGCTTTCTTTGGTGACAGCCTAATTTACTGAGAATAGAAAGTATTGATATTATGATCAATCTATATAAAAACAAGGTCAGAGGCCGGGCGCGGTGGCTCACGCCTGTAATCCCAGCACTTTGGGAGGCCAAGGGGGGCCGATCACGAGGTCAGGAGATCGAGACCATCCTGGCTAACACGGTGAAACCCCGTCTCTACTAAAAATACAAAAAAATTAGCTGGGCATGGTGGCGGGCGCCTGTAGTCCCAGCTACTCGGGAGGCTGAGGCAGGACAATGGCGTGAACCTGGGAGGCGGACGCTTGCAGTGAGCCGAGATTGTGCCACTGCACTCCAGCCTGGGCGACAGAGCAAGACTCTGTCTCAAAAAAAAAAAAAAAAAAAAAAAAGGTCAGAAAAAAAAATTCAAGTCAACCTCTCTAATGGGTTTAATTTTATTAAATCAATTAAAATGAAATTCACCAATTTTATCTGCATTCTTTCCATGAATTCTGACAAATGTATAGTGTCATTACCATTACAACCATTATATAAAACATTTTTTCATTATAATAAAGGGTTTGGTTTTAATTATTGCTCATGCTAATGTAGATTAAGGGTTTTTTTAAATTTTTGTTTTGTTTTGTTTTGAGACAGGGTCTGACTGTTGCCCAGACTGAAGTGCAGTAACACAATCACAGCTCACTGCACTCTCAACCTCCTGGGCTCAAGCGATCCTCCCACCTCAGCCTCCTAAGTAGCTGGAACTATAGGCATATGCCACCACTCCTGGCTAATTTTTTTTTTTTTTAAATAGAGATGAGGTCTCAACTATGTTGCTCAGTCTGGTTTTGAACTCCTGGCCTCAAGTGATCCTCCTGCCTCAGCCTCCCAAAGTGCTGGGATTACAGGGGTAATCCCTGCACCTGGCCAAGTTTTTGATAGCTATATTTTCCATAGTCTTCTTTTTCACTAGTTCCCTATCATTTCCCCAGATAATGCATAAAAATGTATTATAACAAAGAATTCAAACCAGGGATAGAAAAAGCAAAATGCAATTAGGATGTTAGACATGCCCACACCTTCAATTTTTTCTTATTCAAATCAGTTGTACCTGTTTTAAGTAGAACCTGAATGACCAAGAAGATTTTTTTAATGTTCAACCTGAATCATTCTTATTTTTACCATGTCTATTCTAATTATAAGGGTCCAAAAGATTTAAAAAGTAACAGCAACAATGTTATTCCTGTCGACATATAACACATGTCAATGCCTGTGGTAGACAGGGAGCTGTGAGAGGTAGCAATGATGTAACATAAGAACTTTGGATTCACAGATCCAAGTTCAAATTCCAGCTTTGCCACTTATTTATGCATGTGAACATGAGTAAATTATTCATTCTCTCTGAGTCTCTTGACTACATTACAGAGCTGTTGTGATAATCAGGCAAGATGTAGAGGTAAATTATGTTACTTCCCCTCTTCTTTAATACACATGAGCACTGAAAGATTCAGCATTACTTCTGCTACTTATAAGAGAATGCTGTATTGTTAGCATATAAATATCTATAAGAAATATGTTAAGTAACACAAACAATTTACATCAACATATATAAGCAAATGTGACCTTTGCTAGTGACAACCTCTCTGAATTCATTTCCTCCTCTATAAAGGAAGGTATTACTAATCACAATATAGCTAATCATGTACTGGGGAACTACAAAGTGCCGGAAACACTTTGAGATGCTTAACATGTATTATCTCTTATTCTTAAAATGATTCTGAAAGATAGACATTATTCCCGTTTCATAATCATTTAAAGCCTTGCTACTGGAAGTGTGTTGTGTGAACCTGAAACTGCATCACTATAACTTGAGAACTGTTTGAAACACAGAAACTAGGCCCCTCCTTTGCAATATAACAAGATCTCCAGATTATTCATATGCACATTATGGTCTGAGAAATCACTGATCTAATGTTCCTCCCAACTCTGCAATTCAGTAAGTCAAAAAGCAATATAGATCAATTACTGAACACTACAGCCAGGGCAAGCCTTGCAGTCCCCAAGTGGTGTGCATTCGTTCCCACAGCCCCACCAGGAAGCAACGTGCCTGCAGCCCTGAGCCGGATGACCTGGGGACCAGCAGGGCAGCCATGGTGAGGAGAGTGAGGATGCGGGGGCCGCTCCTGCCAAGAAGGCCCCGGCCAGATAAGACAAGCCCAAGACGCTGCCCTTCTTGCTGCTGGGCAGTTGGTCAGTATCCAGAGCAACGAGGCTGTGGCCCTACTCAAGACTCATGGCCTGTAACATGTCCATGGGCTTTGGTGAGAGTTGGAAGAAGCACCTCAATGGAATTCGGGAAACGTTATTTTATCAAGATAAAAGGATTTGTCGCAGAAGAAAGGAAACATTACACTGTTTATCCACCCCCACACTAAGTCTTCACCTGGACCCAGATGTGTGACATAAGAGATGTGAAGGTTGTCATCCCAGGACAGGACCCATATTAGAGACCGAATCAAGTTCATGGGCTGCTTTAGTGTTCAAAGACCTGTTCCACCTCTGCCTGGTTTGGAAAACATTTATAAAGAGCCATCTACAGATATGGTTTTATTCATCCTGGTCATGGAGATTTATCTGGGTGGGCCAAATAAGGTGTTCTCCTACTCCAGGCTGTCCTCACTGTTCTGCCCCATCAAGCCAATTTTCATAAGGAAAGAGGAGGCTGGGAGCAATTTACCAATGCGGTTGTGTCCTGGCTAAATCAGAACTCGAATGGCCTTGTCTTTCTGCTCTGGGGCTGTTATGCTAAGAAGAAGGGCAGTGCCATCCACAGGAAGCAGCACCATGTGCTGCAGATGGCTCATTCCTTCCCGTGTACAGAGGGTTCTTTGGATGTAGACAATTTTCTAAGACCAATGAGCTCCTGCAGATGTCTAGCAAGAAGCCCACTGACTGGAAGGAGCTATGATCCTGAGCTGAGGAGTAGTCTGTCTCCATTGGTGGTTATTGGGAAGCTGTTGTTAAAGTATTTGTCACTTACAAAATCAAACTGAAAAATTTCCTATTAATTCTTAAATACTCTGCATAAGGGGTAAAGCTTCCATAAAGCAGCCATGAACCAGGTTGCCCAGAAATGGCAGCTTTATATAGCCACACATAGCAAAGACTATCCTTTGGCCAAATGTCTCTACAACATGGCTTCAGCCTAAAATATGCTAACTTCTCAGAAGACAGATGAAGTCAAATGCTCACTTGGCTCTCTTTACCCCACACCCCGCCCCCCGCCTTACCTTTATGGTTAAAGGGGGAAGATATATACCCTTTAGGTAGAACCATAGTTTGATGCCTGCTGTTACTTGGTTTTGCCTAGTTAGACTTTCAACTACAAGGTATTTTAGGGGGTGTTTTTGTGTAGAAAGGCCCCCTTTTCCCAGCCTGGCAGGCATTCCAGTCTCTGCCAAGTACACTTATACTCCCTTGATCTTTCAAGGGGCCTTCAGGTCCTTCCTTGAGGGAACTATGAGGGTTTTGCAGGTTTCTAGAAATCTGGCCGTGAAATTAGGGCTCAATTTTCTGATTGTAGTAAAGGTGAAGACTCCTAAGGAACAGCGCTTGGTGTTGGCCTTAACAGACAGACAAGGGCTGAGGGATGTGAACTGAGTCTTGTTATTCTTTCGGCGTTTTGTGGAATAAGCAGTGAAATTTAGACAAGAAAGAATAGAAAAGAGAATTCTTCTTTAATGGGGGGAGGTGATTTTCTCCTAGGGTTATCCTGAGTTGGGGTTTTTAAGATAGCACAAACTGCTGCATGCTGTTTTTTATGGACTGAAATCAATTTATAATATTTTTTTCTGCAACACTGGAGATTTTTATTTTTTAAAAGATATATATATGTATATATATGTGTGTATATATGTGTGTATATATATACGTATATATATGTGTATATATATACGTATATATATGTGTGTATATATACGTGTATATATGTGTGTGTATATATATGTGTATATATATACGTATATATACACACATATATATACACACACATATATATATATCCTTCTTTTTTAAGACACAATCTTTATTGGGTCTGTACCTTCATCCTTGATCTTGTTAGCAATGCCTTTTTTTGCTGTTAGGTGGGTTAAAGCGTTAAACCTGCATGGGGTTTGGTAATAAAAGATTGTTAAAGTAAAAAAAAAAAAAAAAGCAATATAAACATTGACATGACCTTTATTTATATGAAATACCTAGGCCAGGTGTGGTGGCTCATGCCTGTAATCCCAGCACTTTGGGAGGCCAAGGCAGGAAGATCACTTGAGGTCAGGAGTTCAAGATCAGCCTGGCAAACACGATGAAACCCTGTCTTTACTAAAAATACAAAAATTAGCTGGGCACGGTAGCACACACCTGTAATCCCAGTTACTCAGAAGGCTGAGGCAGGAGAATTGCTTGAACATGTGTGGCAGAGGTTGCAGTGAGCTGAGATCATACCACTGCACTCCAGCCTGGGTGACAGAGCAAAACTCTATCTCAAAAATAAATAAATAAATACCTACTGGCTTACTTGAAGTATTCAACATAATTTCCCTTGAAATGAGGTTGAGAAAAACAAATCTGAGACCTTTTAAAATTTATTGTAGCAAAGCACATTCAATCTGTGTCCTTCCATTTAAAAACATATACCTTATTTAAATGTAATCCCCTTCTTTAAATAAATTTGTTACTCTTAGAAAAATAAGGCTGTACATGTTTTAAACATGAAAGATGAAGATTTAAACAAAAATTATGAATGTGACCTTAACAATTCAGCTAGGCATGATGGCCCATGCCTGTAATCCCAGCACTCTGGGAGGGCAAGGCAGGAGGATCACCTAAGGCCAGTTGTTCATGACCAGCCTGGGCAACACAGCAAGAACCCATCTCTACAAAAAACAGAAAAAAACTGGCTGGGTGTGATAGCCTGGGCCTCTAGTCCTAGCTACTTGAGAGGCTTGAGGCAGGAGGATCATGTGAGCCCAGGAGTTCAAGGCTGCAGTGAGCTACGATTGTGCCACCGCACTTCAGCCTGGGCAACAGAAAGACACTGTCTCCCTCTGAAAAAAAAAAAAACAAAGAATTCAAAAGCATCAGACTGAACATGTACAATTCTCTGTTAATTATAAACAAAATTTTGTAAGAAAGAATTCAAAAGCACATTTCAGGACCGATTCTACTTAAGGCTAAATGCAATGTAATTTTTGTTACTCTGTTATATGACACTTGTCATTGTATATACTGATATATTAGAGAAATACCCATTTACTCACCAACTACGTATAAGCAACCATGAAGCTTGCTAACTCCATTGCCTGCTCTTCGCTGACCCATTTCTTTAACTTCTATCCACTTATCCAGATGTGGATCATATCTCTCCACGCTAGATAAAGAAGCCATTCCATCATTGCCACCTACTGCATAAACATGGTTCTAAATGAAGAGAGTCAAACAAAACACATTAGATTTCGAATTTATTTATATATTGTTTTAATGGTAAATTAGAATGTACAAGGCAGTATTTCAGGAAATAATATGATATATAATATCTTCATACTGGTGATGATATATTGGACCTTTCCTTATTTTGGTTATGAATGTAATGCAATGTAATTTAATGACAAGTTGCCATATAACTTACTACTAGAGCAACAGAGCCAACTCCTCCACGGGGAGTATTCATTGGTGCCACTGTACTCCACTGATCAGATTCTATGTCATATCTCTCCACATCATTGAAGCAAGTATTGTCATCTAACCCTCCAATTGCATAAATTGGGCCTCCTAAGGAAGCCAAGGCAATTCCTCGCCTGCAAAGACAATAAAACATACTTTAGCAAATGAGTTTGTTTCCAGGAAAAAAAGTCATATAAAAAATTGTGCTAATGCAAATCATTTATCATGTTAACCTTCAAACAGTATAGTTTGTTTCCATTATTTTTAGATCTATCAAAGCTTTTGACTAGATGGCTACAGAATTGCCAAACTGTGCAACTCTATGTGAATACTGCCCCCTGAAGTTGTACAGTGCATAGCCTACACAGGCTACTTTAAACTCAAAACAATAAAATATAACCCAACAAAATAGTATAAAAGAGTTCAAAATATTCAATTAGTGCACACACAGCGGCATAACTGAGAGGTTAATGAGTTGACAGAGAAGTTCTGCAGCGGAGGTCAGAAGCCAATCTCACTTACAAATCCATGCAATTACAGAGCTCATTTTGTTGCAGGGTTTCATTATACCACACAAAAGAGTATTAAATTTTATATTACAAGTTTTATGTCACGTTGCTTTATTTCTGAAGCGTATTTATTTCTCTCTAAAAGTAAGAGACTTAGCCCATGTTAAAAGCTGATTTAACAGTGATCAAAAAAAAAACTCAATTTCTTAAAAAACACACTGCACCAATCAAAAGTTGAACTATTATCAAACTATTATTTTGTCACTAGCTTGGATAATTTATAAACCTCTACTATCTTGTGTCTCATCTGAGACATAGATGGATATTAATGAGTTAATACATGTAAAGCACTAAGAACAATGTCTGGCCCATATTTAGTTCTATGAAGTATTAGCTTTTATTATTATTGGAGAAAGCAGCTGCTTCACTGAGATTCTAACTCTAAATTTACCAGAGAGTATCCAACAAAAGAATTCTTAAGGATAATGTTATCATTCACTTTCAAGCTCCTCAACCTCTTTTCTCTTGGGTATAAAGCTATGACTTACCAAATACTGTGCTGATAAAAATGTTCAGGTGTGTGAGAACAAGTACATGTGTTCTCTAGAATGTAACGATGTTAGGTCAGGGAAATAAAGTAAGTATGCCTCATAATTGTCCCTCCCCTTAAAGGACAAAAGCAGACAACATCATTGGCTTATTTCCTACTCCTCAAAACTCTCTTGGTTTTCATAACATCATACGTTTTAGTCCACTCCTACGTCTCTGGCTAGTGCTTTTCAGCTTCATCAGTGCCTTCTTTACTCCATCATTAAATTATAAAGTTCCCTAAGGGTCACTCTACACTTTCTCTCCCTAAGCATATCCCATTCTTTCCACAGATTTGTGATAATTCAAATATATATTTTCAGACATATACCCAATTTCTACCTCAAATATGTCTTGCTGGCTCTTCAACCTTAACTTTAATCTGAAATGAAACTCACTGCCCACCTCGCTGTGGTAGGCAGAATTTTAAGATACTCCTCATCCCCCATGACCTTCATCCCCTGGTGTTACTCTCATGACTATGCTACATTATATGGCAAAAGGGAGGTGACCTTGGCGGGCCTAATCTAATCAAACAAACCTTCAAAAGCAGAGAGGTTTCTCCAGCTGATTGTCAGAAATTCAAAAAACCAAGTGAATGCAGTGTGCCATTGCTTGTTTGAAGGTGGGGGGGAACATGTGGGAAGGATCTGGCAGTGACTTGTAGCCAACAGCCAATAAAAATGAGAAACAGTCCTATAGCCACAAGGAACTGAATTCTATCAATAACCTAAATGGCCCTGGAAGTGGCTTCTTCCCCAGTGCCTCCAGACAAAAGCCTAGCCCAATCTCTTGATTCTGGCCTTGTGGGACCCTAAGTAGAAAGCCTAGCAAAACCTGCATGACTTTTGAACTGTGAGCTAATAAATGGGTGCTATTTTAAGCTGCTAAATTGGGGGCAATTTGTTACATGGACATAGAAAATTAATACAACCCCATCACAAAACAAACAAAAATTTTATCCCATTCACCATGTTGTTTTCCTAATTCAGAAATCATACCATTATCCATCCAGTTGCTTAAGGCAGAAACCGAAGAATCATCTTTGCCTCTACCTAACTGTTCTTTCTAATTATCATAAAGTGTTTTTGACCATACACCTCTGAACTATCTTTCAAATATGTCCTCTTTTCTCTATCTCAATTTCTATCAGTATAGTCTAAGCCACCATTATTTCTTTACATCAAGGGATGAAGAATTACAATAACCCTTTTTGGTCTGTCAGACTGTTTTCACTCTGGTCATCCTCAAATCCCTTCTCCATTTTGAATGCAGAAGTTCTCTGAAAAGAGAAATCTGATCCTACAATTCCCCTATTATTTAAATAAAAATATAAAATGTATATTTACTATACATGCATATTAAATATATATGTTTAATTCAAAGCCCATCAGATAAAATATCCTTGGCAAACTTGAAAGGCCTTCAACCTTTACTTACTCTTTCTGCCTCATTTCTAGACACTCTTCCCCTTAATCTTCCAACTACATTGGACCACTTTCATGCTCTTTGCTCTCTTTCATCGCCTGGTTTTTGAAGGCTCTTCATCTCCCTCCACTTACCACTCTTACCCCACCTATAATAACTTAATCAGGCTAAATTCTGCAGTTCCTTCAGATCATAATAAATGGGACTTCATTAAGATGTTCTCCACTCCTCAAGCACCCTTTACTCACCCCATGCTAATATTATTGCCCTTATGTCATTATTTGTTATCTTCTCTTCTACAATGTAAGCTATACAGAGGCAGAGACACTGGCTATGTTTTCTACTGCTGGTAGCAAAAAACAAAGTTGTATCTTTACCACTTGGTGTGTCTTGTGGTGGGCATTTAAAACTTTTTTTTGAATAAATAAGTGAACCTTTAGACATGCTGTCAGGATGATGGGTTTCAACAGACTCATAGCTTAAACAAACATCGGTGTCCATTTCAGTGGAAAGATGAAATAAAAAAATAAAGATAACCAGATATTTCACATGTGAAAATGTATTGAAATGCCAAAAAGATGATTTGGGGCTATATAAGTTATAAACAAATAATATGACAAAATAATTGTAGCTCTATTATTTTTCACACAGATTGTAAATGCTCGGGGCATATTTTAAAAGATTAAAGAAATTCAATTGCTATTTTGCTAGAGAAGTTTCATTCAATCTTTGGCTAAAAACCAACATAGTAACAGGGATATAAAGATTAAAAAAGTACTTTGGGATTTTATCTCCCATTTTAATCCATGCAGTTATCACATAGTGTAAATCACTCCCTATTAAAGTATTAAAATGTCATTTGTAGACAGTGGGAGATAACAGTTTAAGACTAGCTTTTTTTTTTTCTAGGATTCTTTTTCATGAGGGGAAAAAAAGCTTAAAATGTCTTCACATTTTTTTTTAATCTTTCATATTTTAACACAAGAAGCAAAAACCAGTTGAAAATATTATTAATCAAAAATAGAAAATTAGAGGCAACATATCCCCATGTGTGGTTTAGTTTTTAATTGCTCATTTTGATAACAAGTCATTTTTGCAGAATGGTGCTAATTTGCCAACCATATAAGCCACAATGTCTCAGGTATGGTTTTACTAGTTCAGGTTTGTTTCTTTTAATTAAACTGTGGGTGATACATTTATATATATTAAGGTCAGTATCATTATATATCATATATATGTGTGTATGTGTGTGTGTATATATATATATCACCTGCAAGTTTTTTTTTTTTGAGACGGAATTTTGCTCTTGTCATCCAGACTGGAGTGCAATGGCGCAATCTCGGCTCACTGCAACCTCCACTTCCTGGGTTCAAGCGATTCTCATGCCTTAGCCTCCGCAGCAGCTGGGATTACAGGCACCCGCCACCACGCCCAGCTAATTTTTGTATTTTTAGTAGAGACGGTGTTTTGCCATGTTGGCCAGGCTGGTCTCAAACTCCTGACCTCAGGTGATCCGCCCATCTTGGCCTCCCAAAGTGCTGGGATTACAGGCATGAGCCACCATGCCCGGCCCACCTGCAGTTTTATTAAAAGAAACTCTTCAGCAATATTTTCAATATTTACTAAGATAGCCCTCTTCTCTCTTCTCGCATTATATTTTCACTCTGACACAGAGACAGAATTATTCTAGTATCTAGTTTTATACAAATTATTAAGCTCAGTCTTTGAAATCCTCACGCTATTAACAGAACAATAAAGTTGAAAAAAAATAGGCAATAAAATTTAATCTCCCATTTGGTGCAAAATATATGTGATCTTTCTGACAATACAATTCCAATCACTAGGAGGAATTACAGTATGCTTCATTGCTACTATACTGAATCATAAACAAATATTTATTCCTTCCTACTAAATCAACATACACTCTTAAAATATCTAGTAACTCCTGTAAGTTTTCTTGTCTCCAGATCACAACGCTTCAACTATTTTTTGTAGATAACATGGTTTTCAGTTGTATTACTAACCTGCTAGTTTTTTCTTACATGCATTCCAGATTATCATTCTCACATTTATTACAATCCATTTTTGTGCATTTTCTATAGATCTTATTTTCAAATTATAAACATGTTACTGTACTAACAAGTTATGTTCATTATAAAACATCCACCCAAAATAAATTTTTAAAAATGTACAGAGAGTCTAATCTTTTATTCCCATACCCCAACTGGTGTTATATACCCTACTTCAACAATACATCTATAGATACGGAGAGATCAGTGTCAAGAACAATACAACTATAACTCCCTTAATCTAAGGCTTCACTTCTTTTAATGTAGGCAACTGTATTATATTCACTTTTTTCCTTTCCTTTTTTTTAAGAGCTGTGTTTCATAATGGTTCAGGTACTTTTCTCCATATGAAACAATCAAAAACCTGATTTCCCACCATGTTATGTTGTACTCGTGGGATTGAGTTTTTAAAATACCTAAGGCAGGTTTTAACCTATAACTCTAATTTTAACATTTTTTAGGTTTTTGTCTAGAGTATATGTGGTCTACTCCGTCTTTGGAATCCTGATTTGGTCACATGCCTTAGTGATCTTTCCACCTTAGGATATCTAAAAAGCTGGTATTCAAGTCATTAATGAAAGTGTCAAACAGGTTAGAGTACTAAGTATGTTACTAAAAATCTTCCCTTTAGACTGATACATTAATCAGCATATATTCCAGTTTATGTTGATGAGAATATAAATATTAGAACATAAATATGTAAATGAGAACATAAATATGTAGGTGAGAACTTAAAATATTACTGTTCATCAGGATAAAAATCAATGAAGAAAAGAGAAATTGAGGACTATTTTCTTAACATGATAAAAATATAGATACCTTAGTCCTAAAGTCAGTATCTTATTTAATAGCAAAACACTAGATACTTTTCTAATAAGATCAGGAACAAGACAAAAACACCTACTATCTCTGCCATTATTCACCTGTATTAGATTATTAGGCAATACAATTAGACAAGAAAAATCAGTAAGAAGCATAAGGATGTTTGGGAAAATTGACTCAAAAAGTCTACAGATTAATTAATACTACTGTTCAATGCTAATTTCAGTAACTGCTATGGCTGTGTAACATGTTAACATTATGGGAAGCCAGGTGCAGGGTAGGTGGCAAGGTTTTGCCATCTCAGCACTGGCATTTGGCATTATCTTTGCCACTGGCACTTGGGATTATCTTTGCCACTGGCATTTGGACTAGAAGATTCTTTGCTGTGCATTATAGAATCTTTAGCATCATTTCTGACTTCTTCCCATAGATGCTAGCAGCAATTTTCCCATCCCCAAGCTGTGACAACCAAAAATGTCTTCAGACACTGCCAAGTGTCCCATAGAGGGGACAAAATCATCCTCAGTTGAGAACCACTGGTACACAGAAACTTTAATATTTTTGCAACTTCTCTGAATAAACTAAAATTATCTCAAAATAAAATGTTTAAAAAAATCAATGCTCATGTATAAGTGAAAACTGTGACTACCATATGGTACTCTAAAACATGACTGCATTTTTAATTCTTAAAAAAAATAAAAGGTGTTAACAAAGTATCACTTTGGACATGCTAACAAAATGTGTTTGAGAAGGTATTTAAAGTTTCTAAAGTAGAAAAAAAAGTTTAAAATAAGGCCTTTAAATTTTAAGAAACTTTATTTCCACCATCAGTTCAAAATAACTTTCCATGCTGATCTACCTCTTTGTGTTCATTGATGCCTTCATCATCCATTTATTAGTGAGAGGATCAAACATCTCCATACTCCCTAAATGTTCATTTCCATCATGTCCACCTACTGCATACACTTTACCTGTCAAATAGAGAAGTATTTTCATTTGACTCCAAACAAATAAATTCATATCATTAATGTTACATATATAAACATTATATAATTAAAATATCACCATAAGTTAATTTTCAATAATTGCTGTTCTGTTCAACATTATGATCAATGTCATTTCAGTAGTTGAATGAAAAATCAATGTAAGCTTGCACTAAACATGCTGTTCTACATGAAGTTATTTATTAGTAAATGCTCTAATATTATCGCCCCCCCTTAGGCTTCCCAACTTTTTATTACTTGGTAGATGAAATCACTAATCATGCCTTCAGAGAATGCTTAATAAAATGGAAAAATGCTCTTATTAGGTTATATTTGAAAATATAAAACTGGTGGCTGGGCATGGTGGATCATGCCTGTAATCCCAGCACTTTGGAAGGCTGAGGTGGGCGGATCACCTGAGGTCAGGAGATCAAGACCAACATGGTGAAAGCCCATCTCTACTAAAAATACAAAATATTACCCGGGTGTGGTGGTGGACACCTGTAATCCCAGCTACTTGGGAGGCCGAGGCAGAATTGCCTGAACCTGGGAAGCGGAGGTTATAGTGAGCTGAGGTCGCACCACTGCCTTCTAGCCTGGGCAACAAGAGCGAAACTTCATCTCAAAAAAAACACAAACAAACAAACAAACAAAAACTATATATATATATATAAACTGTGCACACACACACACACACTTACACACATACATATAAAACTGGTTTGTTGTTTGGCTTTTCTTTTTGAGACAGGGTCTTGCTCTGTCACCCAAGCTGGAGTGCAGTGGCGTTATGACTGCTCAATGCAGCCTCAAACTCCTAGGCTCAAGTGATCCTTCCACCTCAGCCTCCCAAGTAGCTGAGACCACAGGCGTGCACCACTATGTCTGGCTAAATTTTTAAATTTTTGTAGAGACAAGATCTTCCTACGTTGCCCAGGCTGGTCTTGAACTCCCAGGCTCAAATGATCCTCCCACCTCAATCTCCATAAAACTGTTAATATGATCAATTTTTTTCCTCAATAAAACAAACAAAAACACACAGAGAAAGATAGGCAAGATTGTACACCAAAATGTCAACTGTGACTACTTCTGGGTGTTTGTGTTGCAAGTGGTTTTCATTTTTTATGAAAATGTTTTTATATTGTTAAAAATTCATTTATACTTTTATAATAAAAAAGTGATCTTTTAGAGTTTTCTGACAATTTATCCATGGTTCTAAAATTAATTCATTTTCAGGAATAAGTAAAAAAAAATTAATTGTACTAATAATCATTAATTTTAATTAGATGGGCATAAAAAAGCTGATATGTAATTATAATTTGAGTTCTATAAACATTTTTCCTTGGTTTAGTTTTTTGGTAACTATAACTCAGAATAGTTTAACTCTTTATATCTCTTTTCTCTGATATTCATCTCCACATTATGCACACTGAGCATCTGTGGGCACAAAGCAAGTAAATTATCACTAACCAAGCATTTTATTTAAAAATAATTTACAATTTAGTCATTTTCTTATATAAAAATAAATTCTCAGAGTTGAAATATTTTAAAAAGAGCATTGTGATCATATGATATTTCAGACAAGAGTGGACCCACCTTCCACAGAGATTACACCCACATGTCGCCTTCGACTATTCATTTCTGGTCCAAAGAACCAACTGTTTTTGTTGATAGAATAGCATTCAATACTGCGAAAGGGGTCACCAGATCCACCTCGACCACCTACACAAAACAGCACACCTAAAGGTAAAGCCACAAAATAGAGATAAATCATAGCTGCCAAGTTGAAAAAAATTAGAAAGCCAAAACTTTGGATAAAAGCAAAAAGACAAAAAAAAGTTATTTGGATAGTATTCAATGTTATTATGTTACTAGAAATCTAATAAAATTTTCTTCTTGTCCCCTCAAAGAATAGGGTATATCAACTATCTCTGCTTGCTAATGTCCCACTACAATATGGTTTATACTCTCACCTACCTTCTAAAATTACTCTTCCTAAGGTCGTAACAAAACCAATCAGCCTCTAAGTTAATTTCTTATTGAACACAATTGCAACATTTGATATGCTGATCATCCCATTTTTTGGGAAACATCTTACTTCCTTGATTTCTATATCAGTCTCCTTTTGTCTCCAATCATCTATTTCCTTCTATGTTTTCCATGTTCCATCCTTAGCCCATTTCTCACATATTTTTTGCTCACACAGGAAAAGTTCATCCCTTTGTTTTAGATTCCATCTATATCATAACACCTTCCTATATACATTTCTAAGCCACATCTCCACTTGATGTCCCACAGACACCTCAAACCCAACAAGTTCAAAAGGATCTCCCCTTCTTGCCTACCTAAACAACCTCTTCCTTCCCTGTGGTGTCCTATCTGTTCCTCTCTATTCCCAATACCACTGGGAACAGTTCATGCCCTCATCACCTACTACTTAACTACTGCAAAATCCTGTCCTCTCTTAACACTTAGCTGTCTTTTTGCTTTCAGATTGTCAACACAGTAAACTAATGAAAAGGCTCTTTTGATAGCCTTCCATTACCTACACCAGTACTTCTCAAAAACTTTAGTGAATGCCACTGAATTGTACACTTAAAAATGGTTAAAATGGGCAGGTGCAGTGGCTCATGCCTGTAATCCCAGCATTTTGGGAGGCTGAGGCAGGAGAATCATTTGAGGCCAGGAGGTGGAAACCAGCCTGGGCAACAGAACAAGACCCCTATCTCTACAAAAAAAATTTAAAATTAGCCAGCTGTGGTGGGGCATGCCTGTAGTGCCAACTACATGGGAGGCTGAGGCAGGAGGATCACTTGAGCCCATGATTTCAATGCCGCAGTGAGCTATGATTGCACCACTGCACTCCAGCCTGAGTGATGGAGTGAGACCCTGTCTCTAAAAATAAATAAGACAAAAAATGCTTAAAATGGCAAATTTTGTTATATATATTTTACCACAATTAAAAAAAAAAACAGTGTAGTGTAATTCAGAATCAGCTGGAGGGCATAAAACACAGATTGCTGGGCCTGACTTCCAGAGTTTCTGATTCAGTAGGTTTGGGATAAGTCCAAGAATTTGCATTTCTTACAAGTTCCCAAGTGAAGGCTGATGCTGCTGGTCGAGGGGTGACCACTTCCTTCATACTTTGAGCAGCAAAGGCTACCTTACAAGGTAAAACCTTATCACAGCATAAAGGTCTTCCAGGATCTAACCCAATCTCCTCCCCTCTTTCTCTCTCTTAAACTTCATGCTCCTGCAACTATGCATATAGTACACATCTTTGGTGTTCCTATAGCACTTTTGGTAATTAGCATTTATTTAACACACAGTATTAAAATGATCTGTTATGCCAACATCTGTTACCAGAGTCTAAGGTAGGTTAAGACTGTGTATTAAGCAATTATGCATTAACAAGGACTAGCACAGTACCTGCCATGTACTAGGCATTCAATAATTGTAAAATGAACTGAACACCCTTACCCTAACTAGCATTCAGAAGAACATTTATTTATTATTCACAACCAAGGCTAAGGTTTACTTTCTCTACAAAACCTTTTCTGACTCTTCCAAGATAAAAAATAACTACTGTTTTCTTTGTAAGTCCCATTATACCTTATGAAGATATAAAAGTACCTGTTAAGACTTTACTGCATTTATTCAAATGTCTATTTTCCTAGACCAGACAAGTTATTCCAAAATAAGTCCGGCTGTATTCTGTATGTGCCTGCATTTCTTATGTTTAACCCAGAGCCTTTCACATGGTAGGCACTTAATAAAGGTTTGCTGAATGACTGCATAAATGAATGCCTGGTAGCTGCTTGTGCTATCTTTTTCAACTAATTCAATATTTTAAGTCAGATAAATTTAAAGTCGGAAGAGCAGCAAATTATGGTGGCTCACACCCATAATCCCAGCACTTTGGGAGGCTGAAGTGGGTGAATCACTTGAGCCCAGGCATTTGAGACCAGCATGGGCAATATAGTGAGACCCAATCCCTACAAAAAAGAAAAAAATATATCTGGGTATGTGCCTATGATTCCAGCTACTCAGGGGGCTGAGGGAGGAGGACTGCTCGAGCCCATGAGGTTCAAGGCACAGTGAGCTGTGATTGCACCATTGCATTCCAGCCTGGATGACAGAGCAAGATCCTGTCTCAAAAAAATTTTTTTAATAAAAAAAAAAGTTGGAAGAAACTGTGAAGATCATTTAGTCAAATTGTTTATAAGTAAACAGAGGCCTTGATTAAGAAATTTGTTTATAAGCTGGGCTGGGCGCAGTGGCTCATACCTGTAATCCAGCACTTTGGGAGGTTGAGGTGGGTGGATTACTTGAGGTCAGGAGTTCGAGACCAGCCTAGCCAACATGGTGAAACCCTGCCTCTAGTAAAAATACAAAAAAAAAAAGAAAAAAAAAAAATTTGCCCGGCGTGGTGGGGCACACAAGAATGGCTTGAACCTGGGAGGCATGGTGAGCTGAGAAAGCGCCACTGCTCCCCAGCCTGGGTGACAGAGCGAGACTCAGTCTCAAAAAAAAAGAAATCTGTTTATAAGTAAACTGAGACCCTGATTAATAAATTTGCCCAAAATTACAGATGTTCAATGGCACAGCTAGGATTATAATCCCAGAATGCAATGTTAATCTTTGATTAGATTTTCTTTAAGTAGAAACTAGTATTTCATCTATATAGTTCACATAGGAACATCGTATGGAAGGAAAAAAAAAAAAACTAAAATAGAAGTAAAAGACCAGGATGCATACCCTTTCTCTACTATTTCTATGTGTGACCTTCGGCATATTTTTAACTTAATTCTTAGTCTCCTCATCCTTAAAACAGAATAAAACGACCTATTTCAAAATGAGGATCAAATCCTTATCTAAAACCTACTACATAAAGTTCCTTCAGTCATGTAGATCATTTATATGACTGTCTAGTATATTTTGGCATATAACCTAGGCTGCTAAGATGTTATTTGAATTCAATTCTGAGTTTGAAGAATTCCATCAAATACACTGACTTTCTAAATTCACAACAAAAAAGCTATACAACTAAAAAAAATCAATTCTTGGGCCGGGCGCGATGACTCACGCCTGTAATCCCAGCACTTCGGGAGGCCAAGGCAGGCAGATCACGAGGTCAGGAGATTGAGACCATCCTGGCTAACACGGTGAAACCCCGTCTCTACTAAAAATACAAAAAAATTAGCTGGGCATGGTTGTGGGCGCCTGTAGTCCCAGCTACTCAGGAGGCTGAGGCAGAAGAATGGCGTGAACCTGGGAGGTGGAGCTTGCAGTGAGCCAGCCGAGATCGCGCCACTGCACTCCAACCTGGGCGACAGAGACTCCGTCTCAAAAAAAAAAAAAAAAAAAAAAATTACTTACTTACATCAACCTATAAAAAATGAGGATAATTAGTTTCATGTTAAACTAATTATCTAGAAGAACTACTTCTTCATAGGTAGGTGTATGACTTTCAGCATTTCTTTGTATTACCTAGATAAAATCTCATTCTACTCATAATCAGGTATTGCCTTTTGTTGTTGTTTTCAGGCTATCAAAGACCTCATTATTTGATAACTGCATATTTAGATTGCACCATATATAGAGGAAGTCTCTATTTAGAGCTCCTCTTCCTAAATTTCTGAACCTCATGTATTCACTCATGTCTCAAATATGTTACGCTTTATAAATATTTTATTAAAAAGTGATACTTCTTATAGCATAATGTCTCAAAAAAAAAGAAGCGAACATGAACTATTTTCTTGGGAAAAATTATAAAGTCTAAAAATTGTATCAAATAAAGGTGAAACTGCCTGCCTCCTAAAATATAAGGGCTTTAGACTCTAAGAGTTTAATATAACCCATTATACAAATGTTAGCTATGTTTAGTGCCCTTTTTATTTGGTAAAATGAAAAAACAAATATTTAGATGCACAATATATTTCAAGTTCCATGCTTGGCCCTAGGGATAGAAACCTAAATAAGATACTCAGCTGTCTTTGAAGAACTTAAGACATGTCAAATGAGTAAATGACAATGCAACATAGTAAACCAAGTTCAGAATCGGGAAAGATCTCAAAAGAAGAGATATTTCAGTAGGCTCTTCAGAGTATACAGGACTGATTACGGCTTTTTAAAAAACTGGCTTATTGGTAAAACTAAATAATGTACAGTAAAAATTATAAATATATAAAACCGTATTTGCCAATTATTACTTTAAGGCAATCAGACACTAATTATATTACAACTAAGTTTGGGCACACATGAACAACCCTCAAATACAACAAAGATCCTTCCAGGAGAATTGACAAAATAATTTGGTTACCAGCAGTATGCTTCCTTGGGGTAGTCCGAATGGAGTATTCAAAGTCAGGTACTGCTCTGCTACTCAAGTGAAGGTGGTAATTTCTTGCTTCATCCAGTAAATCTCTACATTTTAGATTTTGCTTGACAATCTGTTCTTTTGCCACAACACCCATAAGAAAATCAACCGGCAACAATGGCAGGCGAACCTAAGATCATGAATAGTTGCAATACAACAAATTTTATATTTTCTTGGGAAAATATAAAGTCTAAAAATTGTATCAAATAAAGGTGAAAACAAGATGAGTAATTCTCCACTTCTACTGCAGCATGTTCTCTTTTTAAAACTTAAGTTGTTACTTCATGAAATGTAACATGTTCATGATTTTCAATGTGCCAAATTATAAGCAATTTCCAGTACTGGTCTGCTCAAATGCAATCAGACTACACGTTAAATTATATCCACCCACTTTAAATATCGGTTTAAATAGGCTTTATAATTGAATTGTCTTCATTCAAATTGCTTACTTCCAAAAACGGTACTGACATAATCACAAGGCCCTTCTATTGATAAAGGCACAATCAAAACAAAAGTGCTGTGCTTTGTTCTTTTGCCTTTTTAAGCTAAGATTAAACATAGGGAAATGTGATTTCTTACTTAAAAATGTAAAAATTCATATCTGAAACAAGTGTTGTTTTCTTCAAATTAATGATCTTGGAAGGGAATATACTAACTTAGGGATGCATCCCCTCTTTCAACAGAGGCATTCACCATTCCTCTATTAAAGATACACTGATTTTCCAGTGGATTAAAGGGGATGATGAAACCAGGTAATGCTATTTTGAGTTAAAAGCACACACACACGTAAGGGGTTGAGTCCAGTCTCTCTCCCCAACTGCAAGACTTCGTTGCAGCAGTCCCTGTATCTATTGTTATGGCCCCCCTTGAACGAAATCTGCCTTACCATCTTAAAGAAAAACACATATACACAAATAAGATATAGCTGCAAGATAATGAAACTTTCTATTTGCTTTGCTGACAAACTTACTTTCAAAATAATTCTGAGAAGATGTAAATGTGTTCTGAACTTTGATACTCATATGAATGCATAAATATTGTGATATGCACTTGAAAAAATGTCTTATCATCATACTCTGAATAGGTTTACTTCATCTGCCTATAAATATCTAAAATGAGAACACTGGTAATTATAAGCACTTTCATTCTTCTTCATTCTTCTTACTATTTGTTTAAGTTTCTGATAATGCTATTAGGAAACTTTGTTATTAAAAATCACGAGAATTATCACTGAGTGCTTTTATCAAGCACTAAGTTTTAACAAAGCATTTAATTTAGAAAAAATAAGTAAATAAGAACACTCTTCTTTTAAGTAGCAAAATGTCATTTTACTTCTCAGGAATAAATGAAGAAAGGAAAAAATGGAGGAAGGGAAGGAGGGAAGGGAGAGAAAGGAGAGGAAGACGACAAAAGAAAAAAAGATCACAAGGGCCTATAATCTTCTTATCCTGGTAACTCCTATTGACAGTAAAAAATAAGAACAGTAACAATGAGACACATTTCTGAGGTTTAAAAAAAGTCAAACTACGGTGAGAGAAGAAAATAGAAGTGATGTCCTATGGTTGTTTACATAATAAATCTATCCACATTAGGAATAACTATACTTTTATTAGCAAAATAATTCATTAAAATTTAGAAACCATTATAAAACAATAATTATAAAGTATATTAATTTAGAGCTATTTCTTCAAACCATTTTCTATTGGCATAAATAAAATATTCATCATTAGTATCCCAAAGGAATATTTTAAATATTCAGGTTAAAAGCAGAGAATGATATTGCTAATTCAAATGTGACAAATTTAGATTCATCCTGAAACAGCACAGCAAGTTAACAGGAAAATTAGAGAGCTAAAAGCCATTTCTATTATTTATTACATCAATAATTTCTATATTCCTTGAAATAATCTACACTTTTCCTAATAAATGAAGCATGTTGATTTGCTTCCATATCACTTCATTTCTGTGTGAAATCTTATTTCAGCTCCTACCTGTGCAAGTGTTTCATCCAACCATTTGGAATGATGCTGAGGATTGGCAAGAAGCCACTTGATGGCAGCATTATAGACCTGCTTTTCATTTTCAATATTTAGATCACTGGAGGACAAAAGCTTATGGAGGTGCTGCGGTGATACACTTACAAAGTCTTCACACTCCACTACTTCAGTAAAATGGTCACAGGCATACTGATCCGCCATGTCCATTAAGTCTATTCGATTGTGACTTTCTGCAAAGGCTCTTACTGCCAGGCAATTGGAGGGATGAAAATGTAACTTCATGTATTCACAACAAGCTCTAGCCACCAGTTCAACCTGCAGAATACAGGCTGCATATAAGAGAGGCTGGACATTGTCAACAGTCAAAGTGAGCCGTGAAGAATAGACAAACTTTACCAAGTCTTCTATTGCATCACCATCAAAATCTCTAATCTCAATCAGCGTTTGCTTGGCTTCAGCCATTTCAGAAAGAAACATGGCTCTAAAGTAGGGAATAACACAAGCCAATACCAGCTTGTGACAAGAGATTAGCTTTGAGCCAACCTGTTCAAAAGAAACCAAGAAAGATTCTGTTTAATATCAAAATCAGCTTCAGGTCAGCATTTAACATGTGTTTGTAGCAGGGACAAAATTTCCAGACAAATTTAGAGTATCTTTTTATAAGGCGATCCTTTGATCACTTACTTTCAAGTAGGCCAGTTTCTTAAAGTCAGGTAATTTTCATATTCCAAATTAACCACATATCATATTCATATATATATATACACATACTTTAAAATTAAAAAAAAATTTTTTTTTTTGAGACAAGGCCTTGCTCTGTTGCCCAGGCTGGAGAGCAGCGGCGCAATCTCAGCTCACTGCAACCTCTGCCTCCTGGGTTTAAGCAATTCTCCTGCCTCAGCCTACCAAGTAGTTGGGATTACAGGCGTGCACCACCACGCCTGGCTAATTTTTGTGGGTTTTGTTTTTTCAGTAGAGACAGGGTTTCACCACGTTGGCCAGGTTGGTCTTGAACTCCTGGCCTCAACTGATTCACCTGCCTCAGCCTCCCAAAGTGCTGGGATTACCAGTGTGAGCCACCACACTCGGCCTCTTTTATATATGTATCTGTAACATACACACAACAAACCATGATTTTCTATGTTATATTTCAGGGACATTTTGTGAATTAATACCAGCAAACATCAGTTAGCACTCATTACATGCCAACCACTATTGTAAGTGCTTTTTTTTTTTTTTTTGAAATAGGGTCTCACCCTGTTGCCCAGGCTGGAGTGCAGTGACGTGATCATGGCTCATTGCAGCCTCAACCTGCTGGGCTCGAGCAATCCCCCAACTTAGCCTCCCCAGCAGCTAGGACTACAGGCATGTGCCACCACACCCAGCTAATTTTTGTATTTTTCAGTAGGGACAGGGTTTTGCCATGCTGCCCAGGCTGGTCTCAAACTCCTGGGCTCAAGTGATTCACGCACTTTGGCCTCCCAAAGTGCTAGGATTACAGGCATGAGCCACAGAGCCTGGCCTTCTAAGTGCTTTTCATATACTAACTCAGTTGTCCCAACATCCCTATGAGTAAGTACTATTATTATCCACAATTTATCAATCAGAAAACTGGAGCAGAGAGTAAATATTTAGTAGTATTTACTATGAGCTCAACTGAGGTTTTTTTTTATTTTCTATTTACATTATCTTGAAATGATATAGCTCACATAAAAGCAGTAAAAAAAAAACACTGCAATCTCATCACCTTAATTATTGAAAAATCAGATAGCTTCCAACAGTATGCTATTACAAATAGCACACTAGTGAACTTCTTTGTAACTAAATCGTTATTCACATTCTCTATTATTCCAACAGATAAATTATTGTAAGTAGAGATGCTGCTTCAAAGGATACAATGTGAATATGTGAATACATAATGTCAAACTGTCCATTTCTGAGCTTCTTACAGTATTTGCACCATATCTTGAGTGTTGTTATTGTTGTTGTTGTTGTACAAAGTCTATGCTGCCCAGGTTGATCTCAAACTCCTAAGCTCATGCAATCCTCCCGCCTCGGCCTCCAAAAGTGCTAAGATTATAGGTGTGAGCCATTGTGCCCGGCCATAGTTGCCAATTTGATGAATAAAAAGATCTCATCTTTTTTTTTCTTTTTTGCTCTTAAGATTGAATCATTTATAAATTTTGAGCTATTTGTATTTCTTCTATGAACTACAAATTTTTTATTTATAAGTACTCATCATATAATCAGAGTATTAGGCATTTGTCATATATATTTCAAACTTCTCTTTTAGTTTGCTTTCAAATTTTATTCTCTTATATAAAAACCCTATGGATTTTTATGTAATTAAATGAAGTCTTTTTATTTATTGTTTTAGGTACCTGCTAGAAATGGGAATCATTCTAATATTCTATATTTACTTCACGTATTTTTTATACTACTTTTATGGTTTTATGTTTTACACTTAAATTTTTACTTACATCTGGAAGTTTTTGGTACTGAGTGGGAAGATATCTTCTTTTTAATACAGTATTTATCCCATTTTCCCAGGAGTTTATAATAATCAAATACAAGTAACAGTTATAGTACTATTTTAACAGTTTTCCTGTTTTCATGTAGTGTTTTGATTATATAATAAACAGTTGTATCTCATTATTTGAGAACTAATTTTAAAATGACAACTCCTAGAGTGTTCAAATGTATAAATGGTTTTGCTTATAAAAGCCCCTTCCTCAGTCTTTTTTCACTAATGTGGAGGAAGAAGCAGTATCACTTATTTCAGAAAGTACAAGACAATCATTTCTGTCTGTTATGCTATATTAAATTTTTTCACAGAACTCACAAGGCAGTATTTAGATTCCATTGAGACTAAAGTTGTAATGTAGACTATAACATAAAGCTTGGCATGTTTTCAAATTCACGTCAGCTCTAAAATGGGATCTGAAATCTGATACTAAATAACTTTTAAATAGCCTAAGCATATCCTTTAAAAAATTATTTCCACATGCCACCACTGGGATTCAGTTTCTATGCAAATATTTGTAAGTCTCACATGACTTAAACCTGCTCCATTAAATAACTTGCCAACACTCTCTTACATAATAGTATCATAAAATAGGGTTCTACAATTTCTAGATAACCATTATTTTAACACTTGCCATCCAAGCTGTACAAATCAATGGCCGGCAAGTCATTTTCATGTTGTTTTTAATAAGATTCTGTCCCTTTACAATTCCATTTGAGTCTTGATTCAAACAAACTAAAATGTGGCTATTTAACACATACACCCCTATGTACCCTTTTAGAATAAATATCCATCTTTATTTTATAAAGATCTTTAAGCCACATGTATAAATAGGAACAGCCAAAAATTTGGCTTTTTAATGCACTGATTCTCCTTTGATGTTATATAGTTAATTACATTCCTGAAAGTTTATTTGTACATTTTCTTTCTCTGGTACAAAAAAATAATTACCAATTACCAAAATCATTTCATTAGAAATTTGAAAATGAAAGGAATCAAAGTCTAAAGACCTGATGTTTAAAATTGGATGAAAAACACACAAGCTACATAATATTAGACATTACCGTGTATTTAGAATTATATAAATACTATATGTCCCTGATACTACTTAATTTTCTAATTTACATTCTTTCTTTGTTAGATCAGTGAACGTGTGACTAATTCAAGATAGTATTACGAAAGAAAAACCTTAGACAATTAAATTTAACGGAGTTTAACTGAGCAAAGACGGATTCAAGAATTGGGCAGTCCTGGAACAAGAATAGGTTCAAAGACACTGGTGCTGGTGCATAGTCGAAAATTATTTACGGACAGAAAAAGGAAGGTGACACACAGAAAACGGAAGTGAGGTACAGAAACAGACGGGTCAGTTACAGCTCAGGGTCAGCCTTACTTGAACACAGGTTGAACAACTGGTTGCCTTTAATTGGCTGAACCTCAGTGATTAGCACAAGAGTAGGTTGCAGTCTGTTTACACAACCAGTTAGGTTACAGTTTACTGTGTACAGAGAAACTTTTAGGCCAAGTTTAAAATACATAAGGTGGGAGCTTCAGGCTAAACTTAACAGTACTCAGGGAAAAATCATGTCACACTTCAGTATTAAAATATGTAGAATATCAACATTCATTAAATGATTCCTTAGACTTTTGTTTAAAAAGCTTGAAATACCAACTATTAATAAAAACTTTGAGTAATTTTCCAGAGATTAGCCAATATGAATGGAAATACAATGAAAATAAGGCTTTTGGATTAGTAAAGCACTTGACTATCAACATACAAAGCATTCCTAACTCCACTAGTTAGGACTTCATCATGGCTCGAGTGCCACTTGCTCGAGCCCGCTCCCACTCTGTGGAGTGTACTTTCATTTCAATAAATCTGTGCTTTTGTTGCTATTGAAAAAAAAAAGAGTTAACATTTATTTTGTAAACTATCTCCACTTCACTTAAAAAAGTTTAGTAAAGGCCGGGCGCAGCTCACGCCTGTAATCCCAGCACTTTGGGCGGGATCCACCGAGGAGGGCGGATCAGGAGGTCAGGAGATGGAGACCATCCTGGCTAACATGGTGAAACCCCGTCTATACTGAAAATACAAAAAAAAAAATTAGCCGGGCATGGTGGCACGCGCCTGTAGTCCCAGCTACTTGGGAGGCTGAGGCAGGAGAATCGCTTGAACCTCGGAGGCAGAGGTTGCAGTGAGCTGAGATTGTGCCACTGCACTCCAGCCTGGGCAACAGAGTGAGCCTCCATCTCAAAAAAAAAAAAAAAAAAAAGAATTTTAGAAAAAGTAAAATTTTATCTTAGTATTATTAACCATTATATATACAGGAAAATTTTCCATATCAGTTGAAAAATGCCCTTCTACTCTAATATACTTTAACATTCATCATTAGCAACTTATGCAAGCATCTTCTTTAATATCTTTTACTCTACATGTATATTATTCATTACTATTTCAATGTTGTTTTGACATTTACATTATGACTTTTTGATTACTGTAAATACTATTATAGTGGATATACAGTTGCATAACTTTGTAGGTAATAATAATCTTGATACTTCAAAATAAAAAATAACCTACTGGCCAGGGGCAGTGGCTCATGCCTGTAATCCCAGCACTTTGGGAGGCCAAGGTAGGCGGATCACCTGAGGTCAGGAGTTCAAGACCAGCCTGGCCAACATGGTGAAACCCCATCTCTATAAAAATACAAAAATTAGCTGAGCATGATGGTGGGTGCCTATAATCCCAGCTACTCGGGGGGCTGACGTGGAAGAATCGCTTGAACCCGGGAGGCAGAGGTTGCAGTGAGCCAAGATCGTGCCATTGCACTCCAGCCTGGGTGACAGAGTGAGACTCTGTCTTTAAAAAAA
Organism: Homo sapiens; assembly: GCF_000001405.40. Lineage (NCBI taxonomy): Eukaryota > Metazoa > Chordata > Mammalia > Primates > Hominidae > Homo > Homo sapiens. The sequence continues at coordinate 87,190,652 of NC_000004.12, forward strand.
AAAAAAAAAGCTTACTGTTTAGTCTATTCAGGCTGCTATAACAAACTATCACTGGGTGGCTGATAAACAACATAATTTATTTCTCATAGTTCTTGAGACTAGAAAGTTCAAGATCAAGGCACTGGCAAATCCATGTCTGGTAAGGACTTGCTCTAAGTTCACTGATGCCAACTCTTCTTTGTGTCTTCAGATGGTGGAAGGCACAGAGCAGCTATCTGTGGCCTCTTTTTCTTTTTCTTTTTAATGTCTAAATACAATTTTAATGAGGTACAGATACATGCTCAATTTGTGATCATGAGTTATAACAAATCACAGTTTAGTTATAATTACAAAAATAGTGAAATCAGAATGTAAAGGAAAACCTTTATAAATAAGAACATCCTCAACTTTAAAGATGGCTTAGGTTTCTACATATCTCAAGATCTGCTTTGTATTTAAAATGAATAGTGAAGAGTGTATATATAATATACAAATAAAATAACATTGTGCTTCTTAAAAGCTGTATGTAAAGGGAAATATTTTTTAAATTACTAGAGGCCAGGCATGGTGGCTCATGCCTGTAATCCCAGCAGTTTGGGAGGCTGAGGCAGACAGATCGCTTGAGTCCAGGAGTTCAAGACCAGCCTGGGCAACATGGCCAAACCCCCTCTCTACAAAAAGTGCAAAAATTAACTGGGTGTGATGGTGTGCACCTGTAGTCTCAGCTACTCAGGGGGTGGAGTAGGGTTTGGGTCCAGGAGGTGGAGGTTGCCATGACCCATGACTGCATCACTGTACTCCAGCCTGGGTGACAGAGCAAGACCTTGTCTCAAAATAATAAAATAAGCCTATAATCCTTTCCCCTTATAAAGTAAAAAATAATTTACTATTCCTTCATTCTTACAGTTTTATTTTTATTTTAAATTTATATTTTTCTTTTATTGTAAATATATATACATATTTTGCTTTTTTCAACTTTTACTTTAGAATTAGGGGTGCATGTGTAGGTCTGTTGCATAGATATATTGCATCATGCTGAGGTTTGGTGTATAAATGAATCTATAACCCAGGTAGTGAGCATAATACACAACATAAAATAAACAGTTTATTTCAATTCATACCCCCACCGCCTTCCCTCCTTCCCCCATATTGTATCCACCACTATTTTTCCCATTTTCATGACCATGTTTACTCAATATTTAGTTCCCACTTACAAGTGGGAACAAGTGGTATTTGGTTTTCTGCTTCTTTATTAGTTCACTTAGGATAATGGTTTCCAGCTGCGTGTATGTTGCTGCAAATAACATGATTTCATTCTTTTCTATGGTTGTGTAGTATTCCACAGTGTATATATAACACATTTTCCATATCCAATCCACCACTGATGGGCACCTGGGCTGATTCCATATCTTTGCTATTTGTGAATAGCACTGCAATGAACATGCGGGTATATGTGTCTTTTTGATAGAATGATTTATTTTCCTCTGGGTATATACCCACTAGGAGGATTGCTGGGTTGAATGGTAGTTCAAGTCTCAGTTCTTTGAGAAGTATCCAAACTGCTCTCCACAGTGGCTGAACTAATCTACATTCCCACCAACAGTGTATAAGTGTTCCCTTCTCTCCACAGCCTTGCCAACATCTGTTATTTTTTGACTTTTTAACAAAAGCCATTCTGACTGATGTGAGATGGTATCTCTTTGTGGTTCTGGTTTGCATTCTTCTAATGACTGGTGATGATGAGTTATTTTTTCATGTATTTGTTGGCCACTTGTGGGTCTTCTTTTGAGAAGTATATGTTCATGTCCTTTGCCTACTTTTTACTGTACCTTTTCTGTTTAGATATGTTTAGATAAATACCATTGTGTTACAACTGCATACAGTTTTCAGTATGGTAATAGGCTACGCAGGCTTATATCCCAGCAACAACAAGCTATACCATATAGCCTATGTACGTAGCTTATACTACACACGTAGGCTGTAGTAAGCAGTTCTAATACAGTCATGTGTCATTGAAGGATGGGGATACATTCTGAGAAATGTGTCAGGTGATTTTATCATTGTGCAAATATCACAGAATGTACTTACACAAATCTAGATGGTATAGCCTATTACATACCTGGGCTATATGGTACAGCCTGTTGCTCTCAGACTACAAACCTGCATGGCTTATTACTGTACTGCACACTGTAGGCAACTGAAACAGAATGGTAACTATCTGCATATCTAAACATATAAACATAGGAAAGGTACAGTAAAAATACAGTATAAGGTATTTTTTTTAAAGTACACCCGTATAAGGTATTTGCTATGAATGGAGCTGCAGGGCCTGAAGTGGCTCGGGGTGAATTACTGAGTGGTGAGTGAATGGGAAAGCCTAGGACTTTATTGTACACTACTGTAGACTTTATAAACACTGTACACTTATGCTACACTAAATTAAAAAAAATATTTTTCTTTCTTTCATAATTAACCTTAGCTTACTGTGACTTTTTCCATAAACTTCAATTTTTTAAAACTTTTTGACTCTTGTAATAACACTTAGCCTAAAACACACACATTGCACAGCTCTACAAAAATGTTTTTATATGCTTATTCCAAAAACTTTTTTCTACTTAAAATTTTTTTCTTTTACTTTTTAAACTTTTTTGTTAAAAACTAAGACACAAACTCAGACAGTAGCCTGCATCTATATCAAGTCAGGATCATCCATATCACTGTCTTCCGCCTCCAGATCCTGTCCTACTGGAAAGGAGAGGACACATGGAGCTGTCATCTCCTATAGTAACAATGCCTTCCTCTTGAATACCTTCTGAAGGACCTGCCTAAGGCTGTTTTTACAGTTAACGTTTTTTCTTTTCTTGTTTTTATTAAGAATCAACTTTCTGCAATTTTTTTCTTTTTTTATGTAATGTTTCTTCTTTAGAAGTAGCAAGAGTACACTCTACAAAAACAATAAGAAGTAGAGTAAATACATAAGCCTGTAACATAATCATTTATTAGCATGAATAGGTATTAGGCACTATATATAACCATGTGTTATACCTTTTATACAACTGGCAATGAGGTAAGTTTGTTTACACCAGCATCACCACAAGCATGTGAGTAAAGCACTGTGCTAGGACATTATGATAGCTACAACATTACTAAGTGATAGGAATTTTTCAGCTCCATTCTAATCTTATGGGACCACCACTGTATATGGGGTCCATCGTTGACCAAAATGTCCTTATGTGGCACATGATTATACCCCTTTCTGAGAAACATGAAAAAGATTAAAATACTGATTTACTAGCGGAATGGATGAAGTAAAGGTGATCTTCCTTAAACACAGAATCTTAAAATTTCTTAATATAGAATGCTTAAGTGTTAACTATAGGATCACTTTCGCCATTATTATTTTTCTCTTCTATTAAATTACATCTGTGCTATCTTCTAAATGTCCTCCAAAATCATGTGTTGAAACTTAATCCCCACTGTGCTAATATTAAGAGGGGGAACCTTTGGGAAATGATGAAATCATAAGGGCTCTGTGCTCATGAATGGATTAGTGCCTTAAGAGAGGACTGGAGGGAACTAGCTTAGGCCCATTTTGTCCTTCTGCCTTCCATGTGAGGACACAGTGTTCATCCCCTCTGGAGGATGCTGTAACAAGCAAAATCTGAGAAACAGAGAGGGCAGCCCTCACCAGACACCAAACTTGCTGGTACCTTGATTTTAGACTTCCCAACCTTCAGAACTATGAGAAATAATTATCTATCATTAGCACAGTGGCTCACAGTTATAATCCCAGCTTTTTGGGAGGCCCAAGGCAGTAGGATCATTTGAGCCCGAGTTTGAGACCAGCCTGGGCAACATAGCAAGACCCCATCTCTACAAAAAAAATGTTTTAAATTAGTCAGGCACGGTGGTGCATGCATCTAGTCCCAGCTGCTCAGGCGGCTGTGGCAGGAGGACTGCTTAAGCCCAAGAGTTCACCAAAAAATTTTAATATTTCACTGAGAGATAAGAAGAAAGTACTTTAAATGTGTAATGAGAAACAATCAACAAAGGCTTTTCCATACTGCTTTATCACTTTTCCAATTTTATTAAAACTGGTTGCTTTTAGGAGAACAACATGATCCTACAGATGATGAGCAAAGTTCACTGAGGACTTTTTCATCCAAGGCTAAGTAGATTATATTTCACTATCAGGTGTAGATAAACAATCCCACTTAACAGATGGTAACAATGAAGTAGAGATTAAATTACTGGAATAGAGATATACAGTAAAACACTAGTATAGCTGAGTAAACAATCCAAAATTCCTGACTTCTAACTTACTTCTGTATTCAGAGTAAGCAAATACATCAAGATATTTAAATTCACAAGTGAAAAGCTTATCTGGTCAACAGCAATTTATTAATTTCACTAATAATATTTGTTGTTCTAGGGTTTCAGAACTCTCAGAAGTTAACTAAGAGATAATGAATATCAACATTAAATTAGTACAATAATTTTATCTTATGCTAACTTCTCTTCATTTACCCTCTATGTCCTTTCTCCTACACTAAAAAAAAAGATTGAGACTAAAAGCATTCTGACTGTATCAAATATGTATAGCAACAAAATTTGCCTTGTATGGTTACAGAAACCCCCATTTCTCATATTACACTGAAGAGGCCTGAGAAAAGTACAAAAAAGGCAATCTCACCTTGAGTGTGACATCACAGAGTTCTCCATTTTCATAAAATCGAAGAAGAGAACCATGAAAATCTTTCCAAGCTTCATTTGCTTCAAAAATAAAGGAATCTTCTCCATCACCATCACTAATTGAGGATCTGTTCTTTATTTGCTGGTGCTGTTGTTGCCTTTTCCCCTTTGTAATGTGATTCCTAGCTTGTTTACTACTCATAGAATCTGAAGCCATTTGCAATATTCCTCTTTTAATAGAGCTCTCTTCTCAAACATGCCATTTATTTTTTTTCAAAGGGTAGAGAGAAGGCAGAAGGTAGATGTAGACACTACAATTCAGACGTTTTTCAAAACCCACTCAACTGCCATTGTACAGTTTGCTGTGACTGAAAAATCAACAATAAAACAGGTAGAGACAAACGAAAAGAAAAAAATTATTGTTAACTATAATTTGTTAATACTATATATGCAAAATAACTATATCAATCATATTTATAAAAGAACAAAAACTTTGTTTTTATGCTAAATAACACATAATTCACTTTTGCTAATTATTTTATATCAATAAAGGAACTCCTTTAAAATCCAACAAGAACAACTGACTTGAGCACATGACTTTTGAGATGTGTAATATGCTATCTTCAAAGAGAAAGGCCATGAACTAAAATTTTTCTATTTTTTAATTTTTATTTTAGAGATGGGGTTTCTCCATGTTCCCCATGCTGGTCTCAAACTCCTGGGCTCATGCAATCTACCCACCTAGGCCTCTCAAAGTGCTGGGATTACATGCTTGAACCATCATACGTGGCCATGAACTAAAAATCTTAAGTTTTGAGGCTTAACTGGGAGTTTTTTTTTTTTTAGCAGAACAACATGATCCTATAGATGATAGGTAAAGTTCACTAAAGATTTTTTCATCCAAGCCTAAGTAGACCGTATTTTACTATCAAGTGCAGATAAACAATCCCACTTAACAGATGATAACAATTAAGTAGAGATGAAATTACTGGAATAGAGATATACAGTAAAACACTAGTATAGCTGCCTTCCAGCTATACAATTTAGTAATGCAATGCCAAAACAGAAGGATATTTTGATTGAATTAGGTTCATCCTAGATTCTGAAGTCAGACTATGGTTCTACCACATACCAACTGTATGAGCTTGAGCAAATGACAACCTGCTTAGACCTCGATCTCTTCTGTAAAATAGAGATACCACTTAAGGAAATATTTTGAGGATTAAAAATATTTTACTGCCAAACATACGAAATGCTGCACTCTTAAAAAGATCTCATTTTATTTGCATTTTCACATAGAACTTATTAGTATTTACATATAAAATCAAACTTTCCTCATCATCAAAGCATATTTGATGAATATCCACACCATCCATAATTCTATGCTACAATTCTACTTTGGTGACAGAAACAGAGATTTTAAGTTACTAATGAAACACCTATTCCATCACTTACTGGCTGTGTAATTTTTTTTGAGGCTGTGTAATTTGTAAAACTGAGGCTTTACTAATCCTCAGTTTCTTCATCTATAAACAGGGATACCTATCTACCTCATGGCACTATCCTGAGAAATACATCAAATACAATAATGAATTTACAAGTGCTTGTTTAAAATATTGGTATTATTAGAGTGGAAAGCTCTGCTTATTATGTAGTTTCAGAAAACTCTAAATATTCTAACCAGAACTTTAGCTACATTAGGTTCTTTATTGTTAATCTCATCATTTCCAGCTTTTGACAGAAATCAATGGTTAATGTAAGGTTATAGATTACAGTTATTAATGCCTTCTTATGGTTTCTGTGGCAGACATACATGACAGTGATCCTTAATGAGTCATGTCTTCATATAATCCCCTTGCATGCAGGAAGAACCTGTGACTTGCTTCTAATTGACGGAATGTGGGAAAGTGATGAGATGCCACTCTCTTGATTATGTTACATTATAGAATACAGTATGAGCAGACTGGAGTAAGAAGCTTTCCTGCAGGCCTTGAAAAGCAAACCACCATGGAGACAGTCATGTAGCAGGGAAACTATAGGCAATCCCTAGGACCTGAGAGAGGCTTTCACCTGACAGTCAATAAAAAGCCAGGCCCTCAGTCATACAGCTCCAAGGAAATGAATTCTGCCAATGACCTGAATAAGTGTGGAAGCAGATTTCTTCATAATTGAGCCTCTACATAATACAGCCTGGCCAATAGCTTTATTGCAGCCTTATGAGATCCTAAGCAAAGGACTCAACTACACTGTGCCCAAACTCCTGATGCACGGAAACTGTGAGATAATAAATGCATGTTATTTTAAGCCACTAAATTGTGGTAATTTGTTACACACAATAAAAAATGAATATAGACACCTTCTGTCAGGTCTAAAATTTTATCTGAGGAAAGCATCTATAGATATTCTAACAGGCACCAGCCACTGTAATATCTCTCTTAAATTCACATTCCTGCTGCAAAATCAACAAAAAACAGATGGGACAAATAGAAAACAAATAGCATAATCAGGGCTTAAAAACTTTTTCTGTAAAGGGCCACAGAGTAGATATTTTTGGCTTTGTGGGCCATATGGGTCTCTATCACAACTACTGAACTCTGTCATTGTAACACAAAAGCAGTCACAGACAATAGTAAATAAATAAATAAATAAATAAATAAATAAAGCCATGTTCCAATACAACTTTAATTATTAAAAAAAAAAAAAAACCACTTAGTGGCCCGGTGCAGTGGCTCATGCCTATAATCCCAGCACTTTGGGAGACCAAGGTGGGTGGCTCACCTGAGGTCAGGAGTTCGAGACCAGCCTGGCCAACATGGCAAAACCCCGTCTCTACTAAAAAATACAAAAACCAGCCAGGCATGGTGGCATGCACCTGTAACTCCAGCTGCTTGGGAGGCTGAGGCACAAGAATCACTTGAACCCGGGAGGCGGAGGTTGCAGTGAGCTGAGATCACACCACTGCACTCCAGCCTGGACAACAGAATGAGACTGTGTCTAATAAAATAAAATAAGAAAAAACACTTGGTGAGTGTGATTTAATCCCCAAGCTCATAGTTTGCTGATCCCTGAGTAAGATGGTTGATTTAAACTCAACAATATCAATAATCACATTAAATATAAATAGACTAACCACTTCCAATTAAAGGCAGAGACTCAGGAATGCTATTCAGCAAAAGGGACAAGCTATTGAAACATGTAACAACCGGATGAATCTCAAAGTATGCTCAATAAAAAAAGCCATGCAGTATGATTCTATCTATATAACATTCTCAAAATGACAAAATTATAGAGGTGGAGAACAGATTATTGTTTGCCAGAGGTTAGGGAAGGATGAGAGGAGAGGAGAGGAGTAGCTGTGGCTATAAATGAGTAGCACAAGAGATACTTGTGATGGAACTGTACTGTATCTTGTCTGCAGTAGTGATCATATGAATCTCTATGTGATAACATACACATACACACAAATGAATGCATGTAAAACAGGTGAAATTTGAATATTTGCACACCCATGTTCACTGTGGCATTATTTACAACAACCAAGAGGTAGAAGCAGCCTAAATGTCCTTAGACAATGTATCAAAGTCAATTTCCTAGTACAAAAGTTATGCAAGTTGTTATCATTGAGGGAAACTGGGTGAAGGAAACATAAGATCTATTACTTCTTACCACTGCAAGTGAATCTACAATGGTCTCAAGTAAAGACTTTTTTAAAAAGAGAGATTTTCAGATTGGATAAGAAAAAGCAAAACCCAACTATCAAATGCGTACAAGAAAAAAACCTACTTTAAGTATAAAGACACAAATAGGTTAAAGGAATTGGATAGAAAGAAGACACACCACGCCAACAGTAACAAGAACAACAAAAAAACCCTAAAGAATTTTTAAAAACTGAAGAGTAGCTATAATATCAAACACATAAAATTGTTAGTGATAAAAAACACTATATAAAAATATTCCATGCAAAAGAAAGAAGTTGGACCCTCACCTTACACCATATACAAAAACTAACTCAAAATGAATTAAAGACCTAAATGTAGCCCTGAAACCATAAAATGACTAGACTTGAAACCATAAAGCTACTGGAGGAAAACACGTGGGGAAAAGGATTCACAACATTGAATTTATCAATGATTTCTTGTATATGATGTAAAAAGCACAAGCAACACAAGTAAACACAGACAAATGGGACATCAAACTTTAAAACTTCTATGCAGCAAAACAATCAATAGAGAAGAAAAGGCAACCTACAGAATGGAAGAAAATAGTATTTGCAAATATATACCTGAAAAGGGGTTAATATCCAGATATACAAAGAACTCCTACAACTCAATTAAAAAAAAAACAAAAAAAAAAAATGAAGAACCCAATTTTAAAATGGGCAAAAGGTTGGGTGCAATGGCTGGTGAATGACTGTAGTCCCAGCTACTTGGGAGGCTAAGGTAGGAGGATCACTTGAGCCCAGGAGTTCAAGGTCAGCCTGGGCAATACAGCAAGCACCTGTCTCAAAACAAAACAAAACAAACAAACAAAAACCAAAAACATGCCAGGTGTGGTGGCTCACTCCTATAATCTCAACACTGGTAGGCTGATACTCGAGGATTGTTTGAGCCCCAGGAGTTCGAGATCAGCCTGGGCAACACAGACCTTGTCTCTACAAAAAATACAAAAATTAGCTGGACGTGGTAGCATGTGCCTATAGTCCCAGCTACTCAGGAGGCTAAGGTGGGAGGATCACTTGAGCCCAAGAATTCAAGGCTGCAGTGAGCTGTAATCATGCCACTGAACTCCAGCCTGGGTGACCGAGTGAGACTGCCTCAAAAAAAAAAAAAAAAAAAAAAGAAAAAAAAAAAGGTAAAGGACTTGAATAGACATTTCTCCAAAGATGATATATAAATGGCCAAGAAGTATAGCCCTTCTTCAGTATCCTCAGAGGACTGGTTGCAGGATCCCTGCAGATACCAAAATCCTTGTATCCTTAAGTCCCTTATATAAACTGGTATGGTATTTGCATATAACCTATGTACATCCTCCTACATATTTTAAATTATCTTTTAAATTATCTCTAGATTACTTATGATACCTAAGACAATGTAAATGCTATGTAAATAGTTGTTATATTTTTTAAATTTGTATTATTTTTATTGGATTTAAAAAACATTTTCAATCCATGTTTGGTTGAATCTGGGGATGTCTAACCTGCAGATACTGACAGTCAACTGTATATAAAAAGATGTTCAATATCACTAATCATCAGGGAGATGTAGATCAAAATCATGAGATATCACCTTACACCTGTTGGGATGGGGAAAGAAAGAAGTGTTGGCAAGGACTTAGAGAAACTGGAAACCCTTTCCACTGCTGGTGGGAATGTAAACTGGCTTCCATAGCTGCTATGGAAACAGTATGGATAGTCCTCAAAAAGTTAGAAATAGAATTACCATAAAATCCAGCAATTCCACTTCTAGGTATATATCCAAAAGAAGTAAGAACAGGATAGTAAAGACATATTTGCACACCCATGTTCACTGCAGCATTATTTACAACAACCAAGAGGTAGAAGCAGCCTAAATGTACATCATCAGATAAATGGAAAAAGAAAATGTGATTTATACATACAATGGAATACCATTCAGATTCAAAAATGATGAAAATCCTGTCATATGCTACAACATGGATGAATCTTAAGGACATTATACAAAGTGAAATAAGCCAGAAACAAAAAGACAAGTTCCACTGATTCCACTTATATGAGATATCTGAAGCAGTCAAATTCATAGAAAGTAAAATGGTGGTTGCCAAGAGAGGTGGAAAGAAGATGTTCAATGGGTATCATTTCAGTTTTGCAAGATAAAGTTCTAGAGATCTGCTGGACAACAATGTACATATAGTTAACACTAGTGTACTGTACACTTGAAAATGGTTAAGATGGTAAATTTTATGTTGTGTTTTTCACCGCAATAAAAAAAGACACTACATAATGACAAAAGTGTCAATTCCCAAAGACATAGTATAGTCTAAATGTGCATACACCTAACTTCAAATCTTCAAATCTTCAAAATACACAAAGCAAAACCAAAAAGAACTAAAGGGAGAAACAGACAAATTCACAATTATAATTGAAGAGATTTAAACATTCCTCTTCAGTTATAGAACTAGTTAGCAGAGAATTAGCAATGACATAAAAGAACAGAACACATCATTAACCAACTGGATTTCATGGGTGCTTATAGAACACTCCTCCCAACAAAGGCAGAATATACATTCTTTTCAAGTGCACATGGACCTATATAAGCCATATCCTGAGTCAATAAACAACCCTAAACAAATTTAAAAGAAATTACATTGTATAAAATGTAGTCTCTGACCATAACGGAATTAAACTAGAAATAAGTAATAAAGACAACAGAAAACTCTCCAAATGCTTACAAATTAAATGCACACATCTAAATAATCCATGGAGCAAAGAGGAAGTCCTAAGAGAAATTAGAAATTTCTTCATTAAGTTAGTTCTTAACAAAAATGAAAATATAAAATACCAAAATATCAAAATTTGTAGGCTACAGGTAAAAAAGCAGCTTAGGTGAAAGTTCAGAAAATTATGTGCTTACATCAAAAAAAAGTACTAAATCAAAAAAATTAGCTGGGCGTAGTGGCAGGTGCCTGTAGTCCCAGCTACTCTGAGGCTGAGGCAGGAGAATGGTGGCATGAAATCGGGAGGCGGAGCTTGCAGTGAGCCGAGATCACACCGCTGCACTCCAGCCTGGGCGACTGAGACTCCCTCTCCAAAAAAAAAAAGAGAAAGTATTAAATCAATATTCTAAGCCTTTACTTTCAGAAACCAGAAACTAGAAAAAGAACAAAATAAACTCAAAGCAAGCATAAGGAAATAAACAGCACAAACAAAATTAAAATGAAAATAAAAAACAATAGATAAAAATCCAAACCAAAAGCTATTTTTAAAAGATCAACATATTTTTAGTAGAGACGGGGTTTCAGCATGTTGGCCAGGCTGGTCTCAAACTCCTGACCTCAGGTGATCCACCTGCCTCAGCCTCCCAAAGTGCTGGGATTACAGGTGTGAGCCACCACACCTGGCCTGTTGATCAACAGAATTGATAAACATCTGGCAAAAAAGGCGGGGAGGGAAGACACACATCACTAAAATCTGCAATATCAGAGACTATCATTGCAAACCCCACTGGCATTAAAAAGGTAAGTAAGGTGAATGCTATGAAAAATTCTACACACATAAATGTGACAACTTAGATGAAATGGACCAATTCCTCAAAACCCACAAACTACCAAAACTCACCCAAAAGACAACCTGAGCATTGCTATAACTATTAAATTAAATCACGGTTTGAAAAGCAATCTTCAAGCACAGATGGTTTCACTACATTCTACCAAACATTTAAAGAAGAAATAGCCTTGACTCTACAAAATCTCTTTCAGAAAACGGAAGAGGAGAAAACACTTTCCAACTTATTTCATGAGAAAACCTATGACTCTGATACCAAAACAAAGATAGTACAGAAAAGGAAACTACAAATCAATATCCCTCATGAATACAGACATAAAAATCCCCAACAAATATTAGCAAATATAATCCAGCAAAATATAGAGAATGATCACGACCAAGTAGAATTTATCCTAAGAGTTTATGCAAGGCTGCTTCAATATTCAAAAAAATATAGTCTACCATATTACCAGCATATTAAACCATACTAAACCACCACAACAACATACTAAAGAAGAAAAACCACATAGGAAGTAAAAGTTATCTCCAGTGCAATAAAGCAAGAAAAAGAAAAGGCAAAGACTGGAAAGAAACAAAACTGTCCCTATCAGCACACATAATTGTCTATGTAAACCATTCCCAAGGAACAGCTAGAACTAGTAAGTTTAGCAAGGTCACTAAAAACAAGGTGAACATGGCTGAGCACAGTGGCTCACACCTGTAATCCCAGCACTTTGGGAGGCCGAGATGGGCGGTTCACAAGGTCAGGAGATCAAGACCATCCTGGCTAACATGATGAAACCCCGTCTCTACTAAAAAAATACAAAAATTTAGCCAGGTGTGGTGGTGGGCGCCAGCTACTCAGGAGGCTGAGGCAGGAGAATGGCGTGAACCTGGGAGGCGGAGCTTGCAGTGAGCCAAAATGTGCCACTGCACCCCAGCCTGGGTGACAGAGCAAGACTCTGTCTCACAAAAGAAAAAAAAAAAAAAACAAGGTGAACACACAAAAAATTAATCATAACATAGCACACTGTAGTCTGGAACTTCAAGCCACTGCACCTGGCTATAGTTTTATATAGTTTCTGATCCATTTTATATAATATATAAAATATATTTTTATGTTATATATATAACTATACCTAAAACAATAAAACTTTTTGAAGAAAACACAGAAAAACTTCATGACTCGGGGTCAGGCTACTAGTTGTTAAATATGAAAGAAAAAAATTGCTAAAATGGACTCCATCAAAATTAAAACCTTTTGCTATGAGAAAGACACCATAAGAGAATAAAAAGACAAGCTTCAAATCAGGAGAAAAATGTTGGCAAACCACATATTTGACAAAAAATTTACATCCCAAATATATAAAACTTTCAAACTTAACGAAAAACAACTCAATTAAAATATGGACCAAAGACTTAAGACACTTCACCAGTGAAGACACATGGATGGAAAATAAGCACACAAAAAGATGTTCAACATCACTGCCATTACGTAAATGAAAATTAAAATAATGAACCAGGCACAGTGGTGTGCGCTTGTAGTCTCAGCTACATAGGATGACTGCTTAAGCCCAAGAGTTCGAAGCTGTAGTGCACTATCATCCGATCATGCCTGTGAATAGCCACTACACTCCAGCCTAAGCAACATAGCCCCTGCCACATCCCCATACACACACCCCACAACCATAATGAAATACCACTACACATCTATTAGAATGGCTAAAATAAACAATACTAACAATACCAAGTGCTGGTGAGGATGTGAAACACCTGGAATTTTCATATACTGCTGGTGGCAATGCAAAACAGCATCACTGTTCTAAAAAAAAAAAAAAGGTGGAAGTTTCTTACACAGTTAAACATATTCTTATACTATGACCCAGCAATCTGACTCCTGGCAGTTTAACCTAGAGAAATGAATGCTCGTGTTTACACAAAAACTTGCATATGAAAACATATAGCAGCTCTAGTTGCAATTGCTAAAAACTGAAAATAATCCAAATAACCTTCAACAAGTCAATGGATAAACAAACTGTGGGTACACCCATACAATAGAACACTACCTCACAATAAAAAGGAACAAACTTGGTACATGCAACAACCTGGATGAATCTCAATGGCTGCTGAGTGAAACAGGCCAGTCTCAGTAGGTTACTACATACTCTATGATTCCATTTATATGATATCCTCAAAAGGATAAAATCATAGTGATGAAAAACAGATCAGTGGCTGACAGGGATGAGGGGCAGGGAAAGAGTATGACTAAAAGGAGACGGCAAAAAGAGAGTTTTATGGGATGATGAAACTATTTTGCATCTTTTTTAAGTGTTAATTTAAAATTGATTTGGGTGATGATTAGATAAATCTACACATTTGTTAAAATTCATGGACTTGTACCCCAAAAATGTCAATTTTGCTATATGATAAAAAATAAAATGGAAAAAAAGATTGTTGCATTCCAACATACTCAGGATAAAACTCAAAAGACACAAGGCAATATAATCACAAGCCACTCTACTGCTTAAGGGATAAATCAGCCCATAAAAATAAAATATAAAGGCTGGCCAGACACAATGGCACATGCCTGTAATCTCAGCACTTTGAGAGGACAAGCTAGGAGGATCGCTTGGGCCCAGGAGTTCAAGACCAGCCTGGGCAACAGAGTAAGATCCAGTCTCTACAACAGATTTTAAAGTTAGCCACATGTGGTGGCACGCACCTGTAGTCCCAGCTACTTGGGAGGCTGAAGTGGGAGGATCGCTTGAGCCCAGGAGGTCGAGGCCACAGTGAGCTGTGATCATGCCTCTGCACTCCACCCGGGGTGACAGAGTAAGATTCTGACTCAAGAAAACACACACACACACACACACACACACAAAGGAAGACATCAGCATCACGATAGAAAACACTATCTGCCGTCATCGTTCTAATTGCATGTAAATTAAATCATTTAGTCCTCACTACAACTCTATGAAGTAGCTACTTTTATTTTGCCCTTTATCCTTCCGCCTCAGCACCCCCTGCCCAAGTAGCTGGAACTATAGGCGTGCACCACCATACAGGGCTAATTTTTGTATTTTTTGTAGAGATGGGGTTTTGCCATGTTGCCCAGGCTGGTCTTGAACTCCTGGACTCAAGCGATCTGCCCACTTAGGCCTCCCAAAATGCTGGGACTACAGGCCTGAGCCACTGCACCCAGGAGTCTTCTTTCACTTATTTTGCCATGCCATATTTTGTGCCCTAACTATCTGAAGAAACTGAGGCACAGCAAGATGGAGTGAAGCCCAAGTAAGTGGTGGAGCCAGGATGTGAACCTAGGCAGCAGGGCTCCCCAGCCTGTGCTATTAACTACCACACTACAGTTCAAAGCACTTTAGAAGTGAAATATAATTACAGAACAAAATATATGAAAAACCAAGGTCCTTATCTTCTCCCTCACTATACTTTTAGATTCCCCTACTTTTACAAGTAGCAACACCATTTTTTCAGTTACCCTACTTCAAAACATGAGCCATATTTGACTCCTCTCAACTTTCACAACCTATCCACTTCAATTCTCCTGGATTCTACTTGGAAAAATCTCTGTTCATCCATCCCTTTCTTCCTATTGTCATTGAACTCTATTCTCTCTCATTGTACTCCAGTTCAGATCCACATACTAACCTGGATTGTAGTGACTTCCCCTAACCAATCACCACATTCCTCCTTGCCATCAATAAACATCTCTCAAGGATTAGATGCTGCTGGATTTATCTAACTCAAACTGTCCTTTCCAAACTGCTTAATGTATGTAGCTCAGCTTATCCTGGCATTCAAGGTCCTCATTGCTCTGGCTCTAGTCTACCTTCCAGTCTTTTTCTCCATTCATTTTTTACATAAAGTAGGGAAAGGGGGAAAGAAGATGGAAAAACTACTTATTAAACCACTGTGCACCACCTATTTTGCCAGTAATCTTAAATATACTCTTGTTTAAGCATCACCTTATGGATGGTTCTAACATCCCTGACTTGCCCAAGGCCACACAGTTCTGTAGAAATGGTGGGAGATGGGGTTTCAATCCAGCTGTGATTAAGTCCATTCTTTTTCTACTATATCACAGATTTAATTATTCAGTTTTCCTCAAATGTATTTGCAAATGCTCAAGCTATTCCTTGTGAGGGAATGATGTCAAGGCCCAACTTAAATAATTCCTTTTTATGAATTATTTCCTAATTCTCCCAATGGGATGTGATCTTTCTTGTGAACCCCCATAGTACGCTGTATTTCTCCAACTCGTTCACTTTTTTTCTTTTGTATTTTAGACTTGCCTGCTTAACACAGTCTACTCTTTTTTGAAGACTGTGTCTTAACAATATCTATGTATTTGCCGACAATGAGCCGGAGTCATGAGTGACTGAATTAACACGATCTCTATGGGTTGGGTTTTTTCCCCCAATGAAAAAAACTGGGTCAACTTGGCTCTCTGCTCCTCCCATTTGACACACAGCTGCATCTTCTCATGCATTGCCAGCTGCATCGCTGAGGTAGTGAAGGTGATGGCCGGAGTCAACGGATTTGGTCGTATTGGATGCCTGGTCACCAGGGTTGCTTTTAACTCTGGAAAAGTGGATATTGTCGCCATCAATGACCGCTTCATTGACCTCAACTACATGGTCTACATGTTCCAGTAGGATTTTACCTATGGCAAATTCCATGCACCGTAAAGGCTGAGAATGGGAAGCTTGTCATCAGTGGAAATCCCATTACCATCTTCCAGGAGCGAGATCCCTCCAAAATCAAATGGGGCAATGCTGACGCTGAGTACGTTGTGGAGTCCACTGGTGTTTTCACCCCCATGGAGAAGGCTGGAGCTCACTTGCAGGAAGGAGCCAAAAGGGTCATCATCTCTCCCCACTTTGTTGACGCCCCCATGTTAGTGATGGGCATGAACCATGAGAAGTATGACAACAGCCTCAAGATCATCAGCAATGCCTTCTGCACCACCAACTGCTTAGCGCCCCTGGCCAATGTCATCCATGACAACTTTGGTATCGTGGAAGGACTCATGACTACAGTCCATGCCATCACTGCCACCCAGAAGACTGTGGATGGCCCCTCTGGGAAACTGTGGCGTGACAGCTGCAGGGCTCTCCAGAACATCATCCCTGCCTCTACTGGTGCTGCCAAGGCTGTGGGAAAGGCCCTCTCTGAGCTGAATGGGAAGCTCACTGGCATGGCCTTCTGTGTCACCACTGCCAAGGTGTCGGTCATTAACCTGACCTGCCATCTGGAAAAACCTGCCAAATATGATGACATCAAGAAGGTGGTGAAGCAGACATCGGAGGGCCCCCTCAAGGGCATCCTGGGCTACACTGAGCACCAGGCTGTCTCCTCCAACTTCAACAGCAACACGCACTCTTCCACCTTCAATGTTAGGGCTGGCATTGCCCTCAACAACCACTTTGTCAAGATCATTTCTTGGTATAGCGATGAATTTGGCTACAGCAACAAGGTCGTGGACCTCATGGCCCACATGGCCTCCAAAAGGAAGACCACCAGACCACCAGCCCCAGAGAGAGCATGAGAGGAAGAGAGAGGTCGTCACTGCTGGGGAGTCCCTGCCACACTCAGTCCCCCACTACACTGAGAATCTCCCCTCCTCACTTTCCATGTAGAACTCCTGAAGAGGGAGGGGCCCAGGAGCCCCACCTTGTCATGTACCATTAATAAAGTCCCCTATGCTTAGCCAAAAACAAACAAACAAACAAACAAACAAACCTTGGTCAACTCTTGTTAGTCTAGTGAGTTGTCTTCTTCTTCTTTTTTTCTTTTTTTTTTTTTTTGAGGCAGGGTCTCACTCTGCCACCCAGGCTACAGTGCAGTGGCACAATCTCGGCTTATCACAGCCTTGACCTCCCAGGCTCCAGCAATCCTACAGGCATGCAACCACCATGCTGGGCCAATTTTTGTATTTTTTGTAGAGATGGGGTTTTGCCATGTTGCCCAGGCTGGTCTTGAACTCCTGGACTCAGGCCATCTTCCCCCCTGGGCCTCCCAAAATGCGGGGACTACAGGCCTGAGCCACTGCGCCCAGGAGTCTTCTTTCACTTATTTTGTCATGCCATATTTTGTGTCCTATATGAGTATTATGACAGCAGGTATCACTAATATCTTATTTTTAAACTTTACTAAGTTAAAATGCATACAGTTCAAAATGACCATATACTTTTCCCCCTTACATCAAACTACTCTAGCTCTATCTAGTGAAAGTTTTATTATTGTTGTCACAAAATGTTTTCATTTGTCAGCGTACTATTTCTATGAAAAGGGCTTTAATAAATATTCACTTTTATAAAATTATTTTTACATTTGAATTCAGATTTGGATAGGACACAACAGCTCAAAAGCTGTCTATACCAAATTCTCTTAAAATGGTCTGTTTAAATAATGCAATGTCCTCAACTTTAAAAAATCTATTATATATAATAGAACAGGAAGACAGAAGCAGGAAAAGAGTACTTACTCAAAGACTATTCACTCTGCCTAAGAAACTCAGTAGACGTTAGGACTTATAAAGTCCGTATATTAGTATCAAGTAAATATGTAATTCAACCTACACTCCAGAATTTAAAACAATCAGAATTTTTTTAAAAATATGCCTAAGATTCTGATTTTTAGGGAGAAAAATAAATGATATTCCTCCTTCCTCAAATATATTAAAAGATTAAAAGCACAAAACAACAGAGAGGAAAAAAATGGACATCCGTGGCACATCATTGTCATAACATGCTACAGATGTCCATTTCTATCACATGTTGGCATATTATGACAATGAAGCAGACAGAAAGCTGATTCCTTTTTTTTTGCTCCTCTAAGTGCCAGTAAAGGCATATCGATCAACAAAATAGGAAGTTATGAAGAGAAAATACTTCAAACAGAAGCAGACAGGTTTATAGTTCAACGCAGAGCATATGTAACAAAACTAATATATTTTTATAAGTAAACATTATTTCCAATGAATTACAGAAAACAGGACTGATAGCAAAAGCTTAAAGATACTATTGTGCTAAGCCAGACCACCTTATTCTCGTTCTCTAGCTTCCTTTGTACTTATAATTTCTATCACATTTAGCATGTGATATTAATATGTAATACCATTACGCTGAATACTGTACTAACTCACTTTACACTGTATTATCCTCATAACTCTTTGCAGCACAGTGACTGTGTTTTCATACTACACATTAATCAAAAGACTACTAAACAGAAAGAGGAACTCCAAATGGCACTTGGTGTTCCGTTTTGGGTTTTTTTTTTTTTTTTTTTTTTGAGGCAAGGCCTGGCTCTATTGGCCCAAGCTGGAGTGCAGTGGCGCAATCTTGGCTTACTGCAATCTCTGACTTCCGGGCTCAAGCCATCCTCCCACCTCAGCCTTCTGAGTAGCTGGGACTACATACAGGCACACACCTCCACACCGGGCTAATTTTTGTATTTTTTGTAGAGATGGGGTTTTGCCATGTTTCCCAGGCTGGTGGTGAACTCGTGAGCTCCAGCAATCTGCCGGCTTCGGACTACCAAAGTGCTGGGATTACAGGCATGAGCCACTACGCCCAGCCCCAAATGGCACTTTGAAAGCACCTCTTAAAGAACTCAATGCCAGCTGGTTGCAGTGGCTCACGCCTGTAATCCCAGCACTTTGGGAGGCCGAGGCGGGCGGATCACGAGGTCAGGAGATCGAGACCATCGGCTAACACGGTGAAACCGTCTCTACTAAAAAAAACACAAAAAACTTAGCCAGGCATGGTGGCGGGCGCCTGTAGTCCCAGCTACTCGGGAGGCTGAGGCAGGAGAATGGTGTGAACCTGGCAGGCAGAGCTTGCAGTGAGCCAAGTTCACACCACTGCACTCCAGCCTGGGCGACAGAGCGAGACTCCATCTCAATAATAATAATAATAATAATTAAAGAAGTTATTTTACAATTCAGTTAGATGAAGATTTTGGATACAAAAGATTATATTTTATAGCAGTATGTGATTAATTTTAGAGCTACCCCTGAAAGTTGATGGAAGACGTGTGTGCATTTACCAAAATCAATTCTTGCATACTTGTGAAATAACAAAATGGCAAACCCCACCCCATGTTCCATAGAGCAAAACCTGAATGTGTTTAATTTTCCACATACTTTAGGCTATTTCACACCTCTCTGCCTCCTTTCAGGCTTTCTGCTCTTTCTGAAATGCCCTTTACCACCCCTCTCTCCTGCTAACTCTTGCTCATCTTCTAAGATCAGCCCAGGTTCATCTGCTCAGGAAGGCCATCCCAAAACATCTTCCTATTCCTAGTGTACTTCCTCTGTGCTCCCACAAAAGTCTGATATTTTTTTCATTATACTTATCACAAAGTATACCCTATTCAATTTTTGGTCAAATTCAAAATACTTAATACTTATAAGTGCCTATTCACTACTAGTCTTCCCTGTAACACTACATAAGCCCCTAAAGTATAGGCACCGTCTCTCTTCACTGCTATTACTCCCATGTTCAGTAAACACATATAACACAATAAACAAACAGAAGTACTTAAAATATTTTTATAATGGATGAACAGATTATGAACACTAGAGATTATTTTTCTACTATAATCCAAATTAATGTATGCTTAAATAATTTTAACTAAAGTAACACTGTGCATAAGACATTTACTTCAATTTTTGAATCACTTTATTTCAAAGGTAATACTCTTCTTAAAATTTCCATTTTTACTTTTAAGTCAGGAAAAAAGTAGGCTATACTCATTATTTCCTTTTTATTTACATTTAAAATTTTGAATCAAACAGTCCAAAATATACCAATCATTAAACGAGAATCTGCTGGTTTGAAAAACTGTATAATAGCTTCAATAGTTCCTACTCAAAGTATACATGACTTCCAACAAATTACTGCCGTGACTTTAAAAAAATGTTTTTCTTGGCCAGGCACAGTGGCTCAAGCCTGTAATCCCAGCACTTTGGGAGGCCAAGGCAGGCAGATCACTTGAGCCCAGGAGTTTGAGACCAGCCTGGACAACAAAGCAAAACCCCATCTCTACAAAAAATACAAAAATTAGCCAGGCATAGTGGCACATGCCTGTGGTCCCAGCTACTTGAGCCTGGGAGATGGAGGTTGCAATGAGCCGAGATCACTGAGTTGGAAAGAATAATTTCCTAACTGGAAGTCAGGGCGTGCTGAAATTCAACACTGATAGGAGACCCAATGGAGAGATCTAGTAGGTTACTGGAAAGACTGATTAGAGAGGTCACTGGTGCTGAAGTCAAAGTCATAGTTAAACTTAAGTGTGAATTAGATGCCTGCAACAGCTCGATGTCAGAGTCCTCTTTTAGACAGATGTGTTCTTGAACAATAACTGAGTAAAGACCAACAATAACATGGCCTTCAGTTAGTAGTACAGCAACACTGTCTGCTGAAAACTGTCCTTACGTATAGAAAAAAGGTAGATTTAATGAAAGGGAAAATGATCAATGAGAATATTTAAAAATCCTTATTAATCAATGAAATTAAATATTGCCAAAGACAAAAAATAAAATTGGTAGGGCTGTCAGGAAATAAACACTCTCACACTGCTGTTCATATAAGCCTTCCTAGGCTCCATTTAGCTAAGATATCCAAAATCTTTTTAATTTACGTGCCCTCTCATGTAACAGTTCCACCTTTTAAGAAATATCTTGATGACTTAGGCTGTGAGTTATACAACCTAGTAATTTTTTTTTGAAAACTGAAAAGCTAAAAACAACCAGTTACCAATGAGCTGGGAGGACTGCTTGAGCCTACCAGGAGTTCAAGACCAGCCTGAGCAACATAGTGAGAGCCAGTCTCGACAAAAGATCAAAAAATTAGCCAGGTGAGGTGGCTTGCACTTGTAGTCCCAGCTACTCAGGGGACTGAGGTAGGAGGATCATCTGAGCCCAGGGAGGTCAAGGCTGTAGTGAGCCATGATCTTGCCAGTGGACTCCAGCCTAAGCGACACAGTGAGACCTTATCTCAAAAAGAAAAAAAAAAATTTTCTTAACAATAGCATTTACAGTCTTTACAGTCATGTGCTGCATATCAGTGTTCTGGTCCACAATAGATGATGATGGTGACCAATGCATAGATGATAGTCTCATAAGATTATAACACTTTATTTTTGCTGTACCTTTTCTGTTTAGACACACGAATAGGTAACCACTGTGTTACAGTATTGACTATATTATTCAGCATGTTACTACATGCTGTATAGGTTTGTAACCCAGGAGCAACAGGCTACACCACAGAGCCTAGGTGTGTAGTAGGCTATACCACCTAGGTTTGTGTAAGTATACTCTATGACGTTTGCACAATGGCAAAATTGCCTATTAACATGTTTCTTAAGAGTGTATCCCCATCCTTAAATGACACACGCAATATTAGATACTACTATTATCAAAGCCTGCTTGTTAAATACTAATGTCATTTCTAGGGTCTATAAACAACATTTTCACTACACTGAATACTTTGTAAGATGTTTATTTTGGGATCTGTTTTATTAAAAAGGAATTCCTTTGACACCTTACAGTAATCATTTCCTTGTTTGAACTGGGCCACTTAGTTTATCACAATCATAGTGGTCTAAAAGTCTAGTATAAAGTATTAAAAGAAAGATCTTGAATTTTACCTAAATATGCGAACTACATGCATGAACCTTAACAGGGGCCTATATTACTCATTATTTTTATTTGAGAATGTCAGAGAAGTGACAGGGTTGTACTTAAGATAACAATGCCTACTAAAAAATTAATTTATCAATAATTTGTTGCCAAGTATCAAAGTATGGAATATTTCACACTGGATGTTTGAAACCAAACGAAAAGCACAAAGCTGAATTTACTACTTACTGAAGGGATAGCTATGCCATCCAGGCACGGTCCCTCTGAATAGAGCACATTGCTGAGCTTACATAGAGTTTAGGGGGTAGCATGGGATTCAGGGATTGGCAGACTTTCAGAGGCTTATTAACATAGTTACTGACATTAGATTACTACTAGCTACATTACTGGGAAGTTACCTAATCTCTCTGTGTCTCAATGTCTTTATTTTTAAAAGAACACAGCATGGCTGTGTTCCAATAAAACTTTGTTTACAAAAACAGGCAGCAAGCTTGGTTTAGCCTACAGGCAGTAGGTAATCAGTTTCCTTCTGGTTCAAAATTACAGTAGCACATTTTGCTATTTAAAATTATAGAAGCTGTTGCCTTGCTTTTGAGAGATATCTGTCAGCCATACGCGACACAAGGCACATAAACTGGCGGTTAGCAGCAGACACTTTAGAGCTAGACAGTTTTGGGATTCTGTGTTAATTGTGCAGCCTCGGGCAAGTTACTTAAAATTACTCTGAGCCTCAGCTCTAAGGTTGTTGTGATGGGTAAGTGAAGTAATTTATATAAAGTATTTAGCTCTGTATCTAGTACATAGTAAGATTCAATAAACAGATGTTATTACTTTTATAAATTATGTGATCCTGAGTCCTTGGTCAGGAACACAGTCCTGCAATCAACATTTTTTCCAGCAAAGAAATAAAATATGCTTTATAATGCTCTACATGAGATTGCAATTATTAGGAACCCACTATAGAAAAGATGGTAATACCCTAAGTCATCTTTTTTTTTTTAATGACAACAGCAAGCATTAATTGGGTGCTTCTATCTACTTATTAGTTGTATATTCATTGTATGATATTGGTTAAGTTACATAACGTTTCATTAGCTTTAGTTTCCTCATCTGTAAAAATGAGGAAAATAATAGTATCAACCTCATAGGATTGCTATAAAACTTAAA
Source organism: Homo sapiens (assembly GCF_000001405.40). Classification (NCBI taxonomy): domain Eukaryota; kingdom Metazoa; phylum Chordata; class Mammalia; order Primates; family Hominidae; genus Homo; species Homo sapiens. Next base: position 87,214,390 of record NC_000004.12, read on the forward strand.
TGAGTTAACAAACTGGCACATAACAGATATATATATATATATATATATATATATATATATATATATATATAATTGTCATCATGAGTTAAATACTTACATGTATTCATTTCAATCCTTGGGATAACTCAAAGAGGTAAAATTCCTATTTTTTTGCAGTTTTGGATAATGAGGCCCAGAGAAGTTAAGACACCTAACCAAGGTCTCATAGCTATGAAGTGCAATGTCGAGGATTCAATAGAGACTTGCCTGACTACAAAGCCCAAGCTCTTATCACTAGGCCAAAGACAGAATTAATGTTATCTCTGTATGGAGGTGCCTATGTGTAAATGACAATGAGAACCAAAATAGTGGTATTAATAATATTCTCCCTATACAGGAAATGTTTCAGGAATTTTTAAAGGTTTTTTTTTGGTTTTGTTTTTTCTTTGAGATGGAGTCTTGCTTTGTCACCCAGGCTGGAGTGCAGTGGCACAATCTCAGCTCACTGCAGCCTCCTCCTCCTGGGTTCACATGATCCTCCAGCCTCCGCCTCTCAAGTAGCTGGGATTACAACTGTGCACCACCATGCCCAGATAATTTTTGTATTTTTAGTAGAGAGAGGGTTTCATCATGTTGACCAGGCTGGTCTGGAACTCTTGGCCTCAAGTGATCCACCTGCCTCGGCCTCCCACGGTGCTGGAATTATAGGCGTGAGCCACCCCGCTCGGCCAGAATTTTTTAAGGTTTAAGTGTAGGAGAAGCCATACAAATCACTGATCTTAAAATGATTGGATTCCCATAGGTAAAATTTTTGCTGAAATTATTCCCTTTTGTTTTCCATATCTAATTAATTTAATTCAAACTTTCATTATTAAAGTTAAGCAATCCTCTGCATTAAAATAACTAAAGATCCAACGTAGTGACTTATCTTTTATATATAAAGTATGCTGCAATATTGGCATTCATCTCTACTACTAATCTTTGAGGTCTATTTCAGACTTCTCAGACTATTTTTACAAAGAACCACACTTCTGCTACTTTATTCTATAAATTCCCAAATATTGGTTTAGAACCTTGAACTTTGAAAAACATTTCAACTTTAAATGAAAATATTAATATCAAAGGAAAAAAAGATCTCAAGGAAAAAGACATTACTTGATGGACAGATTCATTCACAAGTTTGTTTAGCATCACTTGATCCACCTCATACTCTCCCAGCCTTGGGAATGCTACTAGTAACTGATCCAGAACAGAACTTGGTTTTACACTGTAAAGCCTTATAGCCCAGCAATCATTATACAAGGAAAACAGGGCAAAATTCCAAACGCTTATTCTTATAAGAATAAACTCAGATTTAAAAGTATGTCCGATTCAGAAATTCAAAAAAAGCAAATAAGTTTTAAATGTTATAAATGAAAATCACAAATTATAATATAATCTACAAAAGCAAACTGTAAATTTCTTGAAAACATACATATCCATCTTTTCAAACTAGCAGTACTAAAAGTCAAAGTGATCATCAATTAGGATTTAATAAAATTTTATACTCTATGATATACAAGAAATATCATACAACAGATTATGTATATATCATCATCTAGTTTGAAAGATTAAACACTTAATTTTCTTTAACATTGGGTGTTTTGTTGTGAAAACAAAGAACATCCAAATTTAGAATAAACAAGCCAAATTATCTTTTGGCATTTTAAATAATATTCTGACATGCTGGATTGTATTAAAGTCCCATTCTCTGCCTCCACTGTATTGCCCATCAAGGCTGGGGGTGGGGAAGAAGAGAGGAGTAGACAATACCTGCCTAATGATAATGAATCAATCAAAGGTACCACTTCCAGGTAGAAGTAGCAGCACTATTATTCATATGAAGGTAGTGTATCATAAATATCAACTTCTAGCTTTGGAAGAAAAACAGATACTCAGTGCTTCAAAAATAGCCTGTTCTCTTTCCTTTCCGCAATATAACCTGTTTCTCTTTCCTTTCCACAAAAAACTAATTTTAAAAATAATCTCTAACATTTTTACTAAAGAAACCTGCCTAGATCATTGAAGCTAGTGGTTTCCTAAACCTTTAGTGGGAACAAGGTCATGATGCTCTTTTAATTTAATTTTTCCCCAGAAAAGTATAAATTTTCATTTAATTTCTCCCCAGAAAAGTATAAATATACAGAGTTCACAGACCCTTGGAAGACCATTTATGCTCACGCTAACAGATTCAGGTTAAGAGTCAGAGAGATGAAGTAGAAAATTTCCCAAGGTCCCTCCAACCCTCTTCCATAATTCTCTCTCTGACTCATAAGAACCAACTAAATCATTCATAACCAAACCAAACAATATACTTTCTTGCATGACCAACCCATTTAAAAAAAAAGCAGCTGACAGTATCTATATAGCAATATCCACCAGAAAATAAATTGTACTGGCAGCATTTTAAAATACAGCATGTGACTAGTAATATCAATGAATATTATAGTTGATTATAGCTTAGAGAATGTTTTCACATACAACACCAAATAATCCTCAATTCTGGTAAAATAGAAGTACGTATTATTTTTATCCCCCTTCCACAGCTAAGGAAAGAGGTTTAGAAAATTACTTGCCATGCTCACACAGCCAATAAGTGGAGATCTGGGATTCTAATAGAGAATTGTGTAGTACCAGAAGTGAGCTCAGAACAATATTATAGTCTGGTGCTTCCATAAAAGCTCCTCAAAACAGAGAAAACAGAATTTTTAAAAATAGACTAATGGGTGACATTTTTATTGCAGACATATCTTGACATGAGTAAACAAAAATTAATTTATTTAAAATGCTCAACTCCCTCTTGTTTCTTTGGCTAATATAAACCATTTTGTTCAGAAAAAAAAAAAAGACATAGTCAAGTGAATTTTAGCGACTGAAAACAACATTTTGTTATTTTATGAAACATTTATCCTCCCTCATCTCTTGCTTTTTTTGGGGGTGGGGGGAAATAGGGTCTCACTCTGTCACCCAGGCTGGAGTGCAGTGATGCAATCATGGCTCACTGCAGCCTTGACCTCCCTGGACTCAGGTGATCCTCCCACCTCAGTCTCCCGAGTAGCTGGGACCACAGGTGCACACCACCACATCTGGGTAATTTTTGTTCGTTTGTTTGTTTTTTTGTAGACACAGGGTTTCGCCGTGTTGTTCAGGCTGGTCTGGAACTCCTGGGATCAAGCAATTGGCCTGCTTTGGCTTCTGAAAGTGCTAGGATTACAAGCATGAGCCACCGAGCCTGGCCTCTTTTTTTTTTTTTTTTTTGGAATATAGAGAAAGGTCTCACTTTGTTGCCCAGGATGGTCTCAAACTCCTGGGCTCAAGCAATCCTCCTGCCTTGACCTCCCAAATTGCAGTTACAGGTGTGAGCTACCATGTGGGGCCCTTTAGTTCTTAATATACAAAAATAAATGTGACTCTTGGGAATTCCAATATAAGTAACCAAAAATTTAAACATTCAATTTATAAAACACAAAAACTATCTGAAATTAATGTTTAAGATGTCTGCAATAGTCTCTTTAATCTTTTTAAAATGACAATATCCATTTCAGTTCTCTACAACTCTCAAAAGTTCTTGATAAAAACAAAAGGGTTATTTGTCCAAACCCACAGAATGTTTAACACCAAGAATGAATCCTAACTGTGGATGTGATAACATGTCAATGTAGGTTCATCAATTGTAATATACGTACCACTCTGATGAGAGATTTTGGCTCTGTAGGGGTAGGCGATACATGGGAAATCTCTATACCTTCCACTCAGTTTTGTTGTGAACTTACAACTGCTCTAAAAAAGAAAATTCATTTTTCAAAATAGCAGGTGGGATCAAAATTTACCCAACTTTTTTTTTTTTTTTAGATGGAGTCTCGTTCTATTGCCAGGCTGGAGTGCAGCTGCGTGATCTCAGCTCACTTCCACCTCCCAGGTTCAAGTGATTCTCGTGTCTCTGGGACTACAGGCATGCGCCACCATGCCCAGCTAATTTTTTTGTATTTTTAGTAGAGATGGGGTTTCACCATGTTGGCCAGGATGGTCTTGATCTCCTGACCTCTTGATCCGCCCGCCTCGGCCTCCCAAAGTGTTGGGATTACAGGCGTGAGCCACCGCGCCCGGCCCTAACTTTCTTCTTAATGAATGAAGAAATACTGTTTTTAAAAAATAACCCTCACTGAATGTGAACTGAGTTTCTTGTCAAAAAATGTGCAATTATTACAGAATATATCATCTTAACCAATTATCAGTAATCTTATCAAATGCTAAAAGAATTGGCAGCTTTAAAAATTAAAATGATGAAGCTAAGTGCTCATATGTAGTTGAATAGAGTATCCTTAGACTTTTTTTTTCTTTTTTTGAGATGGAGTCTCACTCTGTCGCCCAGGCTGGAGCGCAGTGGCATGATCTCGGTTCACTGCAACCTCCGCCTCCCGGGTTCAAGCCATTCTCCTGTCTTAGCCTCTCGAGTAGCTGAGACTACAGGCATGTGCCACCACGCTCAGCTAATTTTTGTTATTTTTAGTAGAGATGGGGTTTCACCATGTTGGCCAGACTGGTCTCGAAAATCCTGACCTCAAGTGATCCCCCCGCCTCAATCTCCCAAAGTGCTGGGATTACAGGCGTGAGCCACTGCACCCGGCCCCTGAGACACCTCTTTTTATATTTAGGCTTACGCAATTTTGGTATCTTGAAAGCAATTTTTTTAAAAAGTGACGAAATAAATAAAGTGACTAAAAGTTTGAAGTTTGAACTGGGTCAGTTTGACAAATTAAGAAGGGTGCCAGGAGGAAGTCTGAGGAAAAGCAGCAGCTTAATGCCACCGCCATCTCCAAGCAGCGTTCCAGGCGCCAGCACTGTTAGCAGCAGTCCTCTGCGTACCCAAGAGTACCGCAGGGCCAGAACACGAGAAAGATGCGCGAAGAGGATTTCCTTCTAGAGAGAGAATAAAGAACACCAAGAGTCCAACAATTACCATCTTGTATAGGAGAAAAACAATGCAAAGGAAAAAACGTGCAACCAGCAGATAAAATACTTATGTCAACCCAGGTTCTAAGGACCTTTTCCCAAAGTATCCCTCTAAACTGGTAACATTAGCTTAGGGCAGAGTCAAGAAGAAAGTTATGCCATTAACACAGATGAAAATACTGAACGTTTTCTATGAAAAGTCACCCGATTAAACACTGCCAAGAGGGAAAAACAGTGCAAGTCCAGTAAAGCACGAGACACGTAGAAAATTCAAGCTATGTAGCCAAATCGCTCTCTCTGAAGAAAACAGCAAGCCAACTGAACCCAGCACGGAGTGGAAGGCGTAAAGAGCTGTCATCGTGGCGGTAACAACTCCACCGGGCGGCTGAGCGTCTAGAAAGAGGCTGCGGTTCCTGGTTCCACATCAGGAGGCACTCTCCACAAGGTCTACACCGCCGCTCCCGGGAAGGCACCTCCAGGGCGGCCAGCAAGCCCCCCGAGTGGGGACAGGCAGTGCCTTCCTCGCCTCGTCCCCGCGCGGCGTGGCCCGGAGGTGGCCCACTCGCCCCGCCCCCGCAGGCCGCGGCTCCAGGGGGCGTCCGGCCGCCCTCCCGGGGCCCCGAACCCGCGCCAGCCGCACCGCGCCTGCCCTCTTCCTGGACCCCGCGAAGCACCTGCCTGGGCCCCTCTTCGAAAGACTGGGAGGAAGGAGTCAAGGAGCTGCCGGGGAGGCTGACAGAGCCAGAGGCTGGAGCTCCCCTACGGGAGCCGGGAGCATAACCCTGCTCCTCCCGCCAATGGGGGCGACAAAAGCCGTGGAAGGTTGCTCAGGGGCTGGATCTCCTGCTGTCCGGGCCCCAAGCCCTCTCAGCTGTGGAGTTTCGGTTGGTGCACGAGGGCTCGAATTTCCTCCGCACACCGGAGACCCAAGACGGGACGGTGTTGCGACTTGGGGGCTGGGGTGAGGGAGGGCTCGGCGCGAGCGGACGGCACCGCACAAAGGAAGAGGGGACTGAGGGGAGACGAGGGGACTGAGGGGAGACGAGCGTCCCGTTACCTCGATCCTCGACCCTGTTCTTCCTGATGTCGCTAAGGTTGCAGCCACGTTACCACGCTCCCAGAGCCCCGGCCGCCCTCAGCGGAACCTCACCAACCCCGCGCGAGCACCCGGCGGACGCGCGCTCTCCTGCGCGGCCCCGCGGAGCCCCGGCGGGCGCTTGGCGTCCTCTCGCCTCAGCCCCCGCGAGCCGCGGCCTCTGGGGGCGGGGCGGGCTGGGCGGGGCTGCGCACGGCACTCTGGGAAGTGTGGTTCTCGGGACCTCCTCCCCGAGGCCACCCCCACGGCCTCGCCCCCGCGGCTCCCTAGTGGGCGGCCGGGTCTCAGGGACTGGGCAGTGTTGCCCGGCCTGGTGAAGGCGGACCAGGGCGTGGCGGAGGTCCCCATAACAAATCTTGAAATAAAACACTGCCTAAATACCTTTGAGCTTATCCATGCTTCACTTCTGCGGCGGTACAAAATTTAGTTTCTTTGTATGTCCATCAAATCCCCTTCTGCGGTTGTGAGTGTTCCTGGGATTTATGTCTTTGAAAAAAGAAGGGGAAAAAAAGGTTTGCATTTATTCCTGTGTCACTTTCACCACGTGCTCTACAAAGGATATACAAAACAACTGTGTTTATAAATACACACCCACAGTTTGTAAACCTAAGGAAGCAGTTGATTGACCTGAGAGCTCGCTGCTAAAAAGCAGTGCAAGTGGCCATGCGCGGTGGCTCACGCCTGTAATCCCAGCACTTTGGGAGGCTGAGGCGGGCGCATCACGAGGTCAGGAGTCGAGACCATCCTGGCCAACATGGTGAAACTCCGTCTGTACTAAAAATACAAAAATTAGCTGGGCGTGGTTGTGCGTGCCACCAATCCCAGCTATTCGCAAGGCTGAGGCAGGAGAATTGCTTGAACCCGGGAGTCGGAGGTTGCAGTGAGCTGAGATTGTGCCATTGCACTCCAGCCTGGCGACAGAGCAAGACTCCGTCTAAAAAAAAAAAAAAAAAAAAAAAAAGCAATGCAAGTAAAAGTGCTGTTGAAATGAATTAATTTTTCTATAATGTCAATAAAGTGGAATGTGTGAGGCGGGAGATCAAGAGACAGCAAAAAAACAAAATTTTTTTTAAAGAAAGATATTCCCCTAAATGTGTCTTTTGCCAGACTAACCTCAAACTTTCACAATCCTAGGAGTCTATTTCAGAATAAATTTAATCCTAGGACCTTTATTAATATTAACACATATGAACATTAGCACATTGATTTTAATAGAAATGAACATATATATATCTGTATATATATATGCATCTTCTATAAAAACCCCAAAGCAACTATTTGAATTTGAAATTTTATTTCTAGAAAAAAAATCACATTTTTTACATTGAAATATAAATAATTCTTAATATTTCAAAATATTCCTCTTTAGAGCATTAGTATTTTGCACATTTAATGCAAATACCTTTAGAAAAATAGAGTAAGATGAGTTTTAAAGAAGTATGCAGTGAAGAAAAGTCATAAAATGTGTCTGGAACGTGATGTAAAAATTGTTGGGACTCAGAAATCGATACCCCAAAATATGGTGCTTTGCCGCGCTGAACTGAGGAAGCAGCTTCAAGGTGTCTCTTACCTTCCCCATTACCCCTCCTGCCTCTCAATTCTTTGTCTCTCCCAAAGCACCAAATGATGTCGTTCTCTGAATTTCCCTTATCTGCCTAGAAACTAGACCTGCCAAAGAGGAACATATTTGCCTTACCTGATTTTTCATTTACTTAACTCATATTGGAGGAAGAAAGACTGAAGTCTGTCAACACTCTTGGACAGACTTTTGTCACAAACTATTGTCTGCTGTATGGGCTCAACACACTTTTTCCCAGGCCATTGTATGTTCCCCATTTTCCCCTAAAAGTCCTTTACTATACCTTAAGTTGCCACATTTCCCCAATCTCCCTTTCCCCCATAAAGAAGAGTATATAAACGTCTCTACCCCATTGAGTCATTGGGTAATCATTCTCCTGAAATCTCCCTGTGTTATGCACATTAAAATAAATTTTGTATGTCTTTTTTCCTATTAGTCTGCCATTTGACAGTTGATTTTTCAGTGAACCTTCCAAGGGAAAAGGGAAAGCTTCCCTGTATTCCCTTTATTAAACATAAAACACAATATGTATTTTATTTATTTATTTATTTTATTTTATTTTTTTGAGACGGAGTTTTGCTCTTGTCGCCCAGGCTGGAGTGCAGTGGCACAATCTCAGCTCACTGCAACCTCCACCTCCCAGGTTCAAGTGATTCTCCTGCCTCAGCCTCTGCAATAGTTGGGATTACAGGTGTCTGCCACCACGCCCGGCTAATTTTTGCATTTTTAGTAGAGACAGGGTTTTACCATGTTGGCCAGGCTGGTCTCGAACACCTGACCTCAAGTGATCCACTCGCCTCAGCCTCCCAAAGTGCTGGGATTACAGGCATGAGCCACCACGCCCGGCCTACAATATGTATTTAGTAAGACCATGTTAATAGAAATTTTGTTTTTTATAGCCTAAGCTTTTATTTTATTTTATTTATTTTATTTTAGAGACAGAGTCTCACTCTGTTGCCTAGGCTAGAGTGCAGTGAGTAGCACAATCATGGCTCACTGTAATCTTGATTTCCCCGGCTCAGGTGATTCTCCCACCTCCCGAGTAGCTGGAATTACAGGCCCACACCACCACACCTGGCTAATTTTTTTGTTTGTTTTGTTTTGTTTTGTTTTGTTTTGTAGAGATGGGGTTTCTCCATGTTGCCCAGGCTGGTTGTCAAACTCCTGGTCACAAGGGATCTGCCTTTCTTGGCCTCCCAAAGTGCTGGGATTACAGGTGTAAGCCACCATTCCTGGCCACTTTTCTTGTAATAAGGTGCACAGTAACTCCTAAAAATGCTTATAAAAAAGAGCACAACTGCTCTTTTTCTTCTGCTAATTGACATATACACAATAAACTATTTGTAGTTACTAACAAATCAAAGAAATATACACAATATTTCAATATTATTATCATCTATTTATCGAAGAACATTTTTTGAGCACCAGACACTGAGCTAGGAACTGGGAAATACGCAGTAGACAAAATTGAATAGTCCCTGCTCTCATGGAGACTTAGGATCTAGACTCGGAGACAGAGAATTAAACAGTGAATAATGAAAAGGTATGCATGGGGTGGCCAGGGGTTTGGGGAGCACCTAAGATACACCTAATCTAGAGCCTTTTATTGGGGCAGAGGAGTCTGGCAAAAATTCTGAAAATTAAATGAAATTTTTAAACCAAATAGCTATAAACTGGGGCAAAAAAAATCTTTCCCTAAAAAGTGATATATCTGTAACAATGCTCTCAAATAATTACTTAAAAATATATACAGTATCTTACAAAATAAGACATACCTCAACTAAAACAAAACACACATTTCCTAAATCGGACGAAATGTCTTCTTAGTTTTTACCCATTCCTCCCTAGCTCCATTTGAGAATAAGCAAGACTAGCCTATAATAAGTAAGGATCTAAGAAATTCCTTCCCTTCCCTCAAAGTCCGATAAATTAAAACTGGAAAGGATCTGATAGCTGTTTGTTCATTTTATGATTGTACTTTAGTCAGAAAAAAATTGCAATATTTTAACCCCAATCAACATTTGCATTTTTTTTTTTTAAATTTGAGATGGAGTCTCGCCTTGTTACCCAGGCTGGAGTGCAATGGCACGATCTTGGCTTACTGCAACCTCCGTCTCCCAGGTTCAAGTGATTCTCCTGCCTCAGCCTCCTGAGTAGCTGGGTTTCGGCCTCCCAAAGTGCTGGGATTACAAGCATGAGCCACCGCGCCGGCCAACATTTGCATTTTAAGTCTTTATCTTTAATCCTGGGATAAAAGGCTTTATAACCATCAAAAGAATTTCAGATGTGGGCTGGATATGGTGGCTCATTCCCTGGATGACAGAGCCAGACAATTTTTCTTTCTCTTAAAGGAGTCGGGGAGCAGGGAAAGAATTTCAGATGTGGCTTGCCGAGGGATTTGGAAAGATTAATGAAGAAGGTTATTTTATCTTCATTTGCTAGGGAGGCAAAGCTTGCAACCAGAGAGCAGGTCCCAGAAGAGTTGCTAAGGTTCTTTGTCTATGGAAACGTACTTAAAGAGCCTGAACACCGCCAGCAAGACCACTATCTTCCTGTCCAGGTCAGGGTTACTGGCTTGCAGTTACATTTCATCCCAATCCTTTGACTCCTATCCTGTCACCCTCCTACAAAACCAGCCTTTACTGTGGCACTTCAGCTTCCCTCAACAATCATTTCCCGCCTTTTATCCTAAGACACACATGTGGATGGCTATGTTTTCTGACCTTAGGCTGGTGGCTCAACTTGTGCTGTTTTAATAAATTAATGACAGTTCTTCCATCCACTACCATGCAATCAGCCTGACATAGGTATCTCTAAACCTTTGCTGACCATTTTCTGATATATTTCTCTGATATATATTGTTGTTTTGTTTTTGTTTTTATTTTGTTAAAGAGATGGATGGGGTGGAGTTTGGTGGGGTGCGGGGATGGGGGGATTTTGCTATGTTGCCACGGCTGGTCTTGAACTCCTGGCCTCGAGGGATCCTCCTGCCTTAGCTTCCCGCCTTAGCCTTCGGAGTGGCTGGGATTACAAGGCTCAAGTCACAGCACCCAGCATCCCTGAAATATTTAAAGTTCCCAATTTTTCTGTGGGTCTTTGTAATTGCTGTTCCTTCTACCCCTTTGCCTGGTGAACTCTTTCTAATCATCTAGTATTAACTTAGAAAACTTTTTAATTAGGAAACCTTTCTTGGTTACAGTCCCCCCTCTCCAGTTTTGGGTTACTGCCTCCTATATATGCTCATCTTACAACTTATTTTTGCCCCTAAAGTAGCACTTAGTGAGCATTTTAAGAAGTTGTCTATATCTTTCATTTGTCTGAAATCTCCTTAAATAGAAAATAACAGCATAGTACTTGATGTATAGATGCTTAATAAATACTTGGACTATAAATGGATGCATATCAACTTTGCTCAGTAAACAACCATTCGGTAACTACTTCCTGCCAAGGGCCAGGCAGTAAATATTTTAGGGTTTGGGGCCATAAGGTCTCTGTTGCTTCCTAAAGGACAATAGTCAAGTCTCACTGGTGGCTCCAAAATATCTATATAAGACAGAATTTGAGTTAAAACTTGGAATGAAAGGAGTAGGGGTGCAGCTCTGGGTTAGAGGACATTACTTGAAGATATCTTTACAGGCACACAGTTATTGTTTCCACTGAATATCTATTTTAGGTAGTTTGGGGGTGGGTCTGTGGGTGAAGCTAAAACAGAAAGCATCATCCTTGCTATGACCACTGCTAGTTCTGTTGGTGCTCTAAATCATTTCTTTTGAAAATTACTAGTGCTGGTGACTTTTGAAATGCGGGTGTTGTTGTTTTTTTGTTTTGTTTTCATTTTTAGCATTTTATTTTTATTACTCCATCATACCCAAGTCTAATCAGTTTCCATTTCCCATGAACCTGCCTAGATAGGGTTGAATTCTCAGGCTGAATATGTGGGGGAACTGTGGAATTCTCTCCGGAGCAATATGAGAAATGACAGAATGAGAGCAATTTGCCTCCATCCCTACCACATTCAAGAACTGTGACTTTAGTTACCAGAAAAAAACACATTTAGAGAAACTTTGATTTTCAGTAACTATTTTTGAAACATGTGCCACATACTTCTGAGCAAAATTGTATCCATATGTATGGTAGAAATTGGCACAGTGAAACAAATGTAATTGTGTTTCCATTGCAATTTGTATTCCAAATGTACGATGTCTGTGAAAAGTACTTCTTTCATTAAGATATAGCTCTATATTAGGCCAGGCGCGATGGCTCACGCCTGTAATCCCAGCACTTTGGGAAGCCAAGGTGGGTGGATCAGTTGAGGTCAGGAGTTCAAGACCAGCCTAGCCAACATGGTGAAACCCTGTCTCTACTAAAAATACAAAAATTAGCCGGGCATGGCGGTGCACGCCTGTAGTCCCAGCTACTTGGGGGCTGAGGCAGAAGAGTTGCGTGAATCCAGGAGGCGGAGGTTGCAGTGAGCTGAGATCGCGCCACTGCATTCCAGCCTGGGCAACAGAGCAAGACTCTGTCTCTCTCTCGCTCTCTCTCTCTCTCTATATATATAAATAATATATATATTATTTATATAAATAATATATATTACTTATATAAATAATATATATATTACTTATATATAATATATATTATTTATATATAATATATATATTATTTATATATAATATATATTATTTATATATAATATATATTATTTATATATAATATATATTATTTATATATAATATATATTATATATATAATATATATTATATATAATATATATTATATATAATATATATTATTTATAAATAATATATATATTATATATAAATAATATATATTATATATAAATAATATATATTATATATAAATAATATATAATATATAAATAATATATATATTATATATAAATAATATATATTATATATAAGTAATATATATTATATATAAATAATATATAATATATAAATAATATATATTATATATAAATAATATATATTATATTTCCTTTCTGATATCATCTTCACATTCTCATAATAGAGTCAATCTGAAAAGTTTATTTTTTGATATGAAAATAAATGCAACATGGCAGACCCTACTAGCTGCTTAAGCAGCATCTTTTTGCCTTCTTCTTTAGAAGGAGAACTCCAATATTGTTAGCAGGATGGCTGAAAGCCCAGCTAAAAGTGCAACTATTGCACAGGACTTTGGGGATGGCTGCTTAAAGGAAACTAATCCAGTTTTAAAGTATCTCTCTCGTTTTTCTTTCTTCCTGGAAGCGATGGCTTGAGTTTTAGTAGCCATCTTGGACCATAGAGTTATTTGACACTGGAGACGGGGCACCACGGTTCATGCCTGCAATCTCAGCACTTTGGGAGGCCCAGACAAAGGAAGCTTGAGTCCAGGAGTTCGAGACCAGCCTGGAGAACACAGCAAGACTGTGTCTCTACTAAAATTAAAAAGAAAGAAAAAAATTAGCCAGTGGTGTTGGTATGTACCTATAGTCCCAGCTATCTGGGAGGCTGAGGTGGGAGGATCCCTTGAGCCCAGTAGTTGGAGGTTGCAGTGAGCTATGATCATGCCATGCAGTCCAGCTGGAGCAACAAATCCAGACCTCGTGTCTAAATAAATAACTAAGTTATTTGTCTTTGGAAGTCATGTATAGGATGCTGGATGAATGACAGAAGGAGCCTGAGTCCCTGATGACCATTAAACCATCATTTTAGTCCAGGATTGCCTCCCTTTGTGCAATGAAAATAAGCTTTTATCTTGCTTAAGCCACTGTGTCAGGGCTTTTGGTTTTATATAGCCAGACCTAACCCTGATTTAAGAGCATACAGAGGTGCATGTGTATTACATTACAGTAAATTATGCAACCCTGTATATTCTCTGCCATTTGATATCAGCCTGATCTCCTGATCCCTGAGGAGGGTAGGAGGCTGGAGTTTGGGTTCAGTCACAGAGCCAGTGATTCAATCAATCATGCCCACATAAATGAAACTCAAAAAAACCCTCTGGATTCCAAAGCTTGGTGGAACTTCCTGGTTGGTGAACACATTGATGTGTCAGGAGGGCAACACCTCCTGACTCTATGAGGAAAGGACATGGAAGTTCTGCGTGTGGGACCCTCTCAGATCTCACCCAATGTTTCTCTTCATTTGGCTGATACTGATTTGTATCTATTAACATTATAACACAGCTGTTATATATATAGTGCTTTCCTGTGTTCTGTGAGTCATTCTAATGAATTATTGAACCTATGGGGGCCATGGGAACCCCTGAATTTGTAGCCATTGGTTCAGAGGTGACGGTGGTCTGAGGACTCCCAAACTTGCTGCTTGCATCTGAAGCAAAGACAGTTTTCTCAGGGACTATGCCCTTAACCTGTGGAGTTGGCACTAACTTTGGGTGGTTAATATTGGATTGCATAACCGTATTATACTTGATTGGTGGCTTCTACCAAAACAGTCTCACTAAAGACCTGGAGGCTTTGGAAGTTCCAGTTGAGAAAAGGATAATATTTGCACTGGAACAAACATGGCTACTCCCAAATTGCCAAGTGGCCTGCCCAGCCTTTCAGGCTTTCTTTACTTTTTTATCAGCAATTTAAGCCTATTCTTTTACTGGGTCAGTGGAGAAAGAAGGTACAAAAGTCAGGAGTCATAAAGAGATCAGCAGATGAAAACCACCAACTGAGAGATAAACTAGGGTTGAATAATCAGACAGGGTATGTGAATTTACTTCCCTGGACTTTGACCATTTTTCATGGAAACTTAAAGATAATACTTGGAGGTTATATTGCAACCTTTTGTAGATGATGTAATTTCTTCCCCTAAATGGTTGCTACCAGTCATGAAGCCACAATCTACCACCCATGTACCCATAATCTTTGCACAGATGGTACAGAAAGAAGCTCAAATTCTCAGCTTCTCTGGCTAAGTGATTCCCCTTGGGAGTTTAAAAGCCAACATTGAACATGGAAATTACACTAAAAAAATTATAATTGCATTTCTTTTTCAAAGAAGCAGAACCAGAAGAAAAACTTTTAGCCTGTTTCCTCACAGGTGAAACTAGACTATTAGAATAAAATAGCCTGTTGTTCAGCCTATTTGGAAGGTTTCAGTTGCTCCTTTTATCATCGGCTAAGACTTGAATTATAGAAGGCCAGAGGGTAATTAGATATATGCCTACTTGGTAGAGGTACTACACAGAGACTCTGCCTTTATGCTTGCAACTGTTGAATAGAAAACAGATGAGGCTAAGCAGACCACAGGACAGATGACATGTGATCACCTCTGCAGCATGGACATTGACCAGCAGCCATTTACACATCAGCCCGAATTTTTGAAACCTCCCTCAGAACATGGTCCTCAAATCTGGAATATCTTTTTCCTTTTTTTTTTTTTTTTGGTGGGGGGGGGTGCAGGGAACAGGGTCTCACTCTGTCACCTAGGCTGGAGTACAGTGGTGCGATCTTGGCTCGCAACCTCTGCCTCCCGGGTTCAAGCCATTCTCCTACCTCAGCCTCCCAAGTAGCTGGGACTACAGGTGCATGCCATCATGCATGGCTAATTTTTGTAATTTTTGGTAGAGATGGGTTTCGCCATGTTGGCCAGGCTGGTGTCGGACTCCTAACCTCAATTGATCCACCTGCCTTAGCCTCCAAAAGTGTTGGAATTACAAGCGTGAGCCACTGCACCTGGCCTACTTTTTTTTTTTTTTGAGATGGAGTCTCACTCTGTCACCCAGGCTGGAGTGCAGTGGCACAATCTCAGCTCACTGCGAGCTCCACCTCCCAGGTTCACGCCATTCTCCTGCCTCAGCCTCCCAAGTAGCTGGAACTACAGGTGCCCGCCACCACCTACCCTTTTTCTTTAGACAAGAATTAAAAGAATATTCGTTTTACCTCCCTCCCTTCTCAACGTGAGCCCTTTCCTCAAGTTTGGCCAAACATCTCACTCCTCCCTCCTCTCAAGTTCATTCCCACCCTCTCAGTCAGGTCACTGGCAGAAAACTCATGGCACACTTCAGCAATTTGAGGAGAGTTTAGTAAAGGTGTGGACAGATTCTAGAGGCAGCTGCAAGGAATAATGCAGTACTTCTGAGCTAGTAAGAGAGCGGTTCCTGGAACCTGGAGAGAGGAAGCTGTATGTAGAGCACCTCTTGACTAAGGTCTTGACAAAGGAAAACAGCTAACTCATGACAACCCTGCAAGAACGGAGCTGAGAGAGAAACACCCCAATCTTCCTGCCCTTCCCTTTGACCTCCTCAAGTGACACTTCCACCCCCAATATAACTGCTGGAAGCCAGGGGACAAGGACTTCTGTCAATTTCATCCATAACGTTTTCTGGCACCAATCAAGGTGGAGAAGGGTGAAGACGAATCTGGAGAGATCTGGAGAGACAAGTAGCACCCCTACTATTAACGTTTTTGTTCAGGCTGGGATTATCACCTAGATCACCTCATTCCAACTGTCATGTAATCCTCTAGTCTGGTCAAGAATTCCACGTATGACCTACTTTTAAACATAGAAATGCCTCTCTCCTCAGTTAGCATTTTTATCTGTATCACTCACACTGACAATCTATAAATCTTTTATTAACACTTAAATGTTTCATGTGTATATAAGTACTGATTATATTATTAGCTCTGGGGACCACAGCTTAAGAGTTACAAATCTATTTCCAGCATCTAACGCAGTGTTAAGCACAGACCAGGTGATCAGAATTGTAATCTTCTCAATTCCTGCCCCTCACTTTTTATCCCACTCCCTACCTGCTCCAGGACAGGCTTACACCTTCACATTATGATGGAAAGAATCATTTAAAATCAGTATTAGGAAGAACCAGAAGCCTAGATGTTAGGATTTTTTGCATAGTATTTTTGCACGCGTCAATATGTATGTTCCTGACATCGGGGCTGTGTAGCATACAAGTGGAATGTGGACTTCCATCTGGAGAAATGTCCAGCCCTTCACCTGGGGGATTTTTCTCTCTGTCTGGGTAGCCCTGGCCAGCACAGCAGGCTAGAAGTACTGAGAAGTTTGTCCTCTCTCCCCTCCCTGAAAGCGGATTTCAACCAGTGACTGAAGGGAGTTGGTGTCTGAAAATCACAGCGGCCTCACCTGCCCGGTGGGGGCAACTCTGAGGTGCATTCTGCCTGGTTTCTCAGTTTCCCAGGGGAGTGAGCCTGGTCACCCTCCGCGGAATCTGTGTGATAATGTACCCTTCATTGACTTTCTTCCCTTTCTTTCTTTCTTCCCTCCTCTCCTGCCAGTGCCTTTTGGGATCCTTTTCCAAATGAAATACCCTGACTTAATTATTAATAAATCTAAACCCTTACGTCTGGGTTTGCTTCTGGGGTAACCCAACCTAAGACAGGCAGGTGCTCAGTGCCAGCCTTCTGCCTCAACATGCCACCTGCAGAATAATGGCAGTGGGAGAATGATGTGATAATCCCACCTGTGAACAGTAATGTTCACCCCACCTGTGAACAGTAACGTTCATCCCACCTGTGGCAGGCATGTACAAGGACATGCTTTGCTTGATATAACTTCTATGTCCCACAAATACTTCTTTTTTTTTTTTGAGATGGAGTCTCGCTCTGTCACCCAGGCTGGAGTGCAGTGACGCAATCTCAGCTCACTGCAACCTCTGCCTCCCAGGTTCAAGCGATTCTCCTGCCTCAGCTTCCCGAGCAGCTGGGACTACAGGCGTGAACCACCATGCCCAGCCAATTTTTTTAGTTTTTGGTAGAGACGAGGTTTCGCCATGTTGGCCAGGCTGGTCTCGAACTCCTGACCACAAGTGATCTGCCTGCCTCGGCCTCCCAAAGTGCTGAGATTATAGGCGTGAGCCACCATGCCCGGTTGATTGTCCACTTTTATTGTTCACACTATCTCACAGATTTTCTCCTAATGCTTTATTTCTATAACCATGAATCTAACATAAACATACCACATTCTATTGATGACATCTCCCTTTCAAAGCTAATAATTTCTAATATTCAAAAATAATTATACATTTCCTATACTTACTGGTATATGAGGTTAATTATTCTTTATGAGTGTATAAAAAGGATAATTAAATAGAACTGTGCACTTACCTCTGTGTGCTCCTTTCCAAACACATCTCTCTTTCTCCCATAGTAAACACTATCTGAATGTGATATTTATTTTTCTCATGTATTTCTTTGTAGTTGTACCCTATTTGCATTTAGTTTGCATGTGTTTGAAATTTAAATGGACAGAATCATACTGTATGTATCTTTCTCCAATCTGCTTTTCTTATTCTTATTGTATTTGTGAGATTCATCCCTGTTGATACACATGGCTGTGGTTTCTTCATCTTTCACTGCTACATACTATTTCATCATATGAATATACCATAATTTACTCATCTTGTTGATGGATACTTGGATTACTTCCAAGTTTTTTCAATTACAGACAATGCTGCTATGGACACTCGTGTATATGTATAAGGGTACATAGCAAATACAAGAGTTTCTCCAGAAGTGGAATTGCTGGTTTTACAATATGCATGACTTCGATGTAACTAAAAAATGCCAAATTGTCTTCCAAGATTGTCATATCAATGCACACTTTTAAGGTAGTTTTCTGAGGACTCCAGTGATCGTACATTCTGGCCAAGACTTGGTTTTACCAGACTTCTTAATTTATACCAGTGGTAGACATAAAATAGTATCTTGTGGTTTTAATTTTTCCCTAATCTTGTGATCATAATTTGCACTTATCTAGTTATGAATGAGGTTTTAATATGTTTAATATATTTATTACCAATTCAGATCTCCTTTTTGTAAAATCCATGTTCAATTTGTTGGTCCATTTTTCTATTAGGTTTTTTTTTCCAATTAGTTTTTTTTAGGTGTAATTTTTAAATATTCTGAGTAGTAATCTTCTGTACATTATGTGAGTATTAAATATCTTCTTCCAGTTTGTGACTTGTCTTACTTTTTAGTGATATCTTTTGATAATCTTGCTTTCCAATGGTATCTTTTTATTTTTCTTTTTTGAGATGGAGTCTTGCTTTGTCGCCAAGGCTGGGGTGTAGTGACATGATCTTGGCTCACTGCAACCTTCGCCTCCAGGGTTCAAGCAATTCTCCTTGCCTCAGCCTCCCGAGTAGCTGGGATTACAGGCACAGGCCACCATGCCTGGCTAATTTTTTTGTATTTTTAGTAGAGACAGGGTTTTACCATGTTGCCCAGGCTGATCTCAAACTCCAATGGGAGGTAGCTTTTGATTAGAATGTAATCAAACTGACCGGGTGCGTGGCTCATGCCTATAATCCCAGCACTTTGGGAGGCCGAGGCGGGTGGATCACTTGAGGTCAGGAGTTTGAGACCAGCCTAACCAACATGGTGAAACCCCAACAAAAATTAGCTGGGCGTTGTGGCACGCACCTTTATTCCAGCTACTCGGGAGGCTGAGACACGAGAATGGCTTGAATCCGGGAGGCAGAGGTTGCAGTGCGCTGAGACTGTGCACTGTACTCCAACCTGGGCAACAGAGTGAGACTCTCTCAAAAAATAAAAATAAAAGAATGTAAACAAACTGATCAGACTTCACCTATTTACCTAGTGGGTTGAGTTTCTTTTATATCTTCTTTGAGAAATATTTCCTATTTCTGGGACATAACGATATTTTCTTCTAAAATTTTGAATTTTACATTGTATATTTAAATCTTTGGTCTGCCTAGGTTTTTTATAAAATCAATTTTTATCACGTTACCACTTATGCCTACAAAATCTTGATTGAAGATACTTGATAAATATTTTTCCATTTTCTTTTTTCATTCTTTGATTTTCTATTTTAAACAATATTTTAAAAAATACTAATTTCAGGCTAAATGTATCTTTTAGAAGCACTCGACAATGCATTCTTTGTCATTGTTTAGACATTACATAAACTACCAAAAATGCAAGTGAGCCAACTATTTGTCACAATCAGTGTTCACTTATTGGATGAAGAACTACATTTAGAGTAGAATGAGTTCTGGGTCCATACTGTAGATGTAGAGATACTTTAAAGTACAATCATAAATCACATAAGGATGTTTTGGTCAACAAAGGACTGCATGTATGGGTGGTGTCATAAGATTATAGTGCAGCTGGCTGGGTGTGGTGGCTCACGCCTGTAACCCAAGCACTTTGGGAGGCCAAGGTGGGCGGATCACAAGGTCAAGAGATTGAGACCATCCTGACCAACATGGTAAAACTGCATCTCTACTAAAAAATACAAAAATTAGCTGGGCGTGGTGGTGCACACCTGTAGTCCCAGCTACTCAGGAGGCTGAGGCAGGAGAATTGCTTGAACCTGGGAGGCAGAGGTTGCACTGAGCGGAGGTCGTACCACTGCACTCAGCCTGGCAACAGAGTGAGTCTCTGTCTCAAAAAAAAAAAAAAAGATTATAGTGGAGCTGAAAAATTCCTATCCCTTAGTGACGTCATAGCCATGATAATGTCCTGCACAACGCATTACTCAAGCTCATGTGCATATTGTGATGTTGGTGTAAACAAACCTACTGTGTTGCCAGTGGTATAAAAGTATAGCAGATACAATTATGTATATTCTATAATACTTGATAAGAAATGACTATGTTACTGGTTTATTTACTATACTTTTTATTGCTATTTTAGAGTATACTCCTACTTATTTCAAAAAAAGTTAACCATAAAACAGCCTGGGGCAGGTCCTCCAGGAGGTATTCCAGAAGAAGGTATTGTTATCATAGAGATGACAACTCCATGTGGGTTATTGCCCCGGAAGACTTTCCCAGTGGGGCAAGATGTGGAGATGAAGACAGTGATATTGACGATCCTGACACTGTGTAGTCCTAGGCTAATGTGTGCTTGTGTCTTCGTTTTTAACCAACAGTTTAAAAAGAAAAGAAAAGAATAAAAAAGCTTAAAGAATACAGATACAAAGAAAGAAAATATTTTTGAATGGCTGTACAGTGTGTTCTAAAGTTTATAAAGTTTATAAAGTAAAATAATTACAGTAAGCTAGGGTTGGTTTATTACCAGAGAAAGAATAAATATTTGAATAAATAAATATATTTTATTTATAGTGTAGCCTGACTGTACAGTGTTTGTAAAGTCTACATAGTGTACAGTAATGTCCTAGGCCTTCACATTCACTCACCACTCACTCCCTGACTCACCCAGAGCAACTTCCAGTCCTGCATGCTCCATTGAGGGTAAGTGCCCTATACAAGTATCATTTTTTATCTTTTATACCGTATTTTTAGTGTACCTTTCCTACGTTTAGGTACACAAATACCACCGTATTCTAGTTGCCTACAGTATTCAGTCCAGTAACATGCCATGTGGGTTTGTAGCCTAGGAGCAGTAGGCTAGACCATATAGCCTAGGTGTGTAGTAGGCTATACCATCTAGGCTTGTATAAGCACATTCCCTGATGTTCACAAGACAAAGTGATGCATTTCTCAGAATCTTGTTAAGTAACACATGGCTGTATTTGAGGTGCCAAATGAAGAAAGTATAAAAATATCCCTTTGTCATCATTTGAGATGAATTGAATAAACTACACTTTGGGGGGCAGGGTGGAGAAAAAGCATAATTGTTATCATTTAATCGTCACCTAGCATGATCTCTATAGCTAATCAAGCATTGAAAATTATCCTCTATATTTCATATTTAAATATGACCTGCTGAATTGAATATGGAGAGGTGTGATAAAATGCAGAATATCTCTCAAACCCTATCAGCTCCTAATACAACCCGAGGGGTAAACAGGACCTTTCAATGACTTGGCACCAGAAGGATTAGGCCAAAACACAAGTCTTTGGGATGAGAGCGGAGAGGTTGCGGGCCGCGGGGCGGGTCGGTGGGGAGGAGGGTGCGGGGGAAGGGGGAATCGAAGGCGCCATTGGAAACGTTGTAAAATGCTTGGAGCGCCCTCTGCTGGAATATATTGGTAAAACAGCAGTAGTGACGAAGCGCTCTGCCTCCAAGTTGGTAGAAATAGAAACCAAAAAAAGCGAATGAAATGGCTCTTTCTTAAAGTAAGCCTTGACACGAGGTTCAAACAACAGTAGCCTTTCTTCTAGAGTTTTATGTAAGATTTGTCACTTTTCCTTCTACCTTAAAATATCTGCCTTATACCAGGAAAAAGTATGAATTTGATTTCTTTTTCCTTTTCCTTTTTTTTTTTTTTTTGAGACGGAGTCTCGCTCTGTAGCCCAGGCTGGAGTGCAGTGGGGCGATCTCGGCTCACCGCAACCTCCGCCTCCCAGGTTCAAGTGATTCTCCTGCCTCAGCCTCCTGAGTAGCTGGGACTACAGGGGCGCACCACCATGCCCGGCAAATTTTTGTATTTTTGGTAGAGACGGGATTTCACTATGTTGGCCACACTGGTCTTGAACTCCTGACCTTATGATCTGCCCGCCTCGGCCTTCCAAAGTGCTGAGATTGCAGGCGTGAGCCACTGTGCCGGCCTATGAATTTGATTTCTTAATAGACACCTTAAGGGAGGCAACCTCAAGGAAGGGCATAACATCACTTTAGAACACTAAGGACTGAAAATTTCATTACAGCCCAGACTTTTATTCATTGCGTACCTTTTGAAAAGTCATTTAATTTATCTGTACTGTGTCTTTTTTTTTTTTTTTTTTTTAGATGGAGTCTCACTCTGTCACCCAGGCTGGAGTGCAGTGACACAATCTCAGCTCACTGCAAACTCTACCTCCCGGGTTCAAGCGTTTCTCCTGCCTCAGCCTCCCAAGTAGCTGGGATTACAGGCGTGCACCACCAAGCCCGGCTAATTTTGTATTTTTAGTAGAGACGGGGTTTCTCTATGTTGGTCAGGCTGGTCTCGAACTCCTGACCTCAGGTGAGCCACTCGCTTCGGTCTCCCAAAGTGCTGAGATTACAGGCGCGAGCCACGGCACCTAGTCTGTATTGTGTCTAAAATGAAGATGACAATAACAATCTCAAACACTTTGACAGCGGGAAGTTTCACAACAGATGTGAAACAAAATTCCTAAGTGCCACATGTCCTTCCCATAGCTAAAAATCCCAGAACTGGCCAGCAGCCATGTTCCCAGATGAACACCGTATTGAGTCCCAGTCACTGTGTCAGGCCTGAGAATATGGTTCTCATCCTCCCAGAACTCCCAATCCAACTGTCTGCTGGGGAAGACACTATAATAATGCAAATAACAGCAATAAAACACGGAAAGAAGAATGTATTGGAAGATTATAAGGACACATACTTTTCTAGATAATCAGAGAAGTCTTCAAAGAAAAGCTGTATTTGAGCTGGGTCTTAAATAAATAATGAGATACTTGCCAATACAATGCATATTTTTTTCCTTAAAATTGTTTAACTGTTATCAGTAGAAACTAAAAACAAAACAAAACAAAATGTGTTTTTTCAACATAATAAATAACAGAAAATTAGCCTAGTTCTAGTTTATTTCACTGGAAGTCTTAACAAACAACATACTGATGCAGTCATTGATTAAATAAACAAATCATAGCCAGGCACAGTGGCTCACACCTGTAATTCCAGCACTTTGGGAGGCCAAACAGGCAGATTGCACGAGCCCAGGAGTTAGAGACCAGTTTGGCAACATAGTGAAACTCTGTCTCTACTAAAAATACAAAAATTAGCTGAGTATGGTGGCATGCACCTGTGGTCCCAGCTACTCAGGAGGCTGAGGTGGGAGGATAACTTGAGCCTGGGAGGCAGAGGTTGCAGTGGCACAATCTTGGCTCACTGCACTTCAGTTTGGGTGACAGAGTGAGACCCTGTCCCTAATAATAATAATACAGATTTGACACTGATAATAATAATGAGTTCTGTTTTTGCTACCTTTTCAGAAAAACATATCTAAACATATCTGTGTTCTGTTAATGTGTTTTAGTGTTATATCATTTTTTTTAAGACGGAGTCTTGCTGTGTCGCCCAGGCTGGAGTGCAGTGGCACAATCTCAGCTCACTGCAACCTCCTTCTCCTGAGTTCAAGCAATTCTTTTGCCTCAGCCTCCTGAGTAGCTGGGATGACAGGCGTGCACAACCATGCTGGGCTAATTTTTGTATTTTTAGTAGAGACAGGGTTTCACCATGTTGGCCAGGCTGGTCTCAAACTCGTGATCTCATGATCCACCCACCTCGGCCTCCCAAAGTCCTGGGATTACAGGCGTGAACGTCCACGCTCAGCCTACATCTTATATTCCATGCATTTCTTATATTTCCTGGATTTCTCACCAAGCATATTTGTAGAGAAGAAGAAAAAAGAGAAAATCATTTTTGAAAATATTTGTTATGTATTTTCATAAAGCATTTAAGTCAGCACTGTGTAATAGAACTTTTTGTGATAATGAAAATGTTCTTGGCCAGGCATGGTGGTGGCTCATAACTATAATCCTAGCACTTTGGTAGATCCAAGTTGGAAGATAGCTTGAGCCCAGGAGTTCAAGACCAGCCTAGCAAGACCCTGTCACACACACAAAAAAGTTCTATATCTGTTCTTTTTAATAATGTAGTTATTGGTCACATGTGACTATTGAGCACTTGAAATGGGCCTAGTTTAACACTGAGAAAGAAAATTGTTAATTTTATTTAATACAAATTGTCATATGTGGCTAGTAGCTACCAAAATGGACAGGAGAAAAGTAAAGTTATCATTGGAAAAATAAAAAATGTATTGGACTTATTTGTATTTATTTTAATGAAAGCTTAATATTATTTTGATCTGGAAATACATATGATAGAAGGAATCATGACTTTTCAGTGCTCAAGCATCCATAATTTTTACCCTGGTCCTGTATAAATTGGCTCCATGAGATAATGTAATTTTTCATGCTATCTGCCTATATTTTATCATTAAGTTATTGTGAACTGTAACAATTAGCAGTCAAATTTACCATTCCATTTGGTCTCTCTAGTGACTTTTTTTCCACGTAAATATTGTTTCGAGACACCTATTTTAAATTCAACACATTCTATTATATTTTTTAAAAATGCAGATTCCCCAGAGCTCTGGATTCTTTTGTCTTCAATACAATATATACCTTTTTCGCACTCAGTAAGGTTCTTCTCTAAGTAGTAGTGTTCAATAAATATTTGTGATTAAATATGTGAAATTTAACTTATTTTAAGATAAGTGGAGAGTATAGTAGATAGAAGAGTTCCTTCAAAAGACACTCTAGCGTTTCTTTAAAAGCCTGGAAGATATAGTAGGTGCGCAGTAAATATTTGTTTGCTTGATGAATGAATAAAGTTGTGACTCTTTAAAGACATTCAAGTGGGAAATGGAGCAGGGCTTGGAAAGGAGACCCCAGGGAGAGGCTCCAGTGCGCCTGTTAAGAATCTGACTCCATCTGATGTGTAATACAGACTTGGCAGGAGCAAAGCTCCGTTATTTCCCAGTACCTCTCTCCAAGCTTGGCTGTTTATTGAATCATAAGAATTAAGGAACATGCGCACTTCTAATAAGTGAAAAGTTCAGTAGTTCCTCTCTGCTTGATAATAGATCAGAGAAAAGGTGATGAGGTGGATAAGGCCAAGCTTTACCTCTGGGTACCTTTTTCTCAGTTCCCTTTCACCCTCCTTCAAATAATCCAGAACATATGCAAGAGGCAGCAGGTGTTTCAGCAGTACTAACAATACATCCTCAGAGGATGAATTTATGAGAACCTTGGGCTGAAACTACCTACATGGCTTCTTCAAGGTAAGATTTATTTGAGAAACATGGTTTGTAAAACCTCCTTGCCAGGTTAGTATTATTATTTACAGTAATTCTAAAAATAAAGTAAAAAGAGAAAACCCCATCAGGTCCAGTGCTACTTCTCAATCATCAGCCTCCAGATTCTTCCCTCTTTTTCCCATCCCCTTTTCATAGGAATTTCATCCAAGAACAAACCTTTGAGTTTCTATGATCTTAACCCCCTCATCTGGTAGGCACTGATGGAATTTTAAATGTTTGCTCAAAGTCCTAATAATTTACTATCTGATATTCCACATAAATGAATCATGATGGTTTCTTTTCCCCACAGCACTTTGAGAACACTTCCTCCAGCCAGCTTGGAGAAGGAAAAGATACATGCTGCCCCTAAAAGCAGCACCCAGGGCTTCTGTCTTCTAATACCATAGACAAAAAAGTTTCTGTCTTCTACTTCACAGTCTTATTGCAATGTTAGATTAAGGAATCGTTAGATAATCAAACCAAGGCAACATAGCTCACCTGGGCTTTAGGTTGTAGAGGCATTTACATCAGCTTCTTCTGAAAATGACAGCATCTAAAGAGGAATTACCAGAAAAACACTGGCAGCACTGTCTTCCAAACACCACTTTGTACTTAGAAAGTACTTTTTCCATTTGTTGCTCTTTATAGTCTTCTTTCATTTATTTGTCCAGTTGTTAGGCTCTTCAGTAGCTTCAGTTGTTCCAGTTCACAAGGTCCTCATTACAGCATGAGTTATCTTTTTGTTTACTCTGCTTGCTTCTGTGTTAGGAATAAATGAGCTGAAACAAAATCATCCAGGAAACACATATCCTGGATCACGTGTCCCTGACAACCTTCTGTGTCTCTCCAGGGTGCTCTGAAGCTGAATTGTTTAAAGGGTTATAGGTTCTCTGAGATAATTAAATCAAAGGTGGTTTAATGGTAAAAATTCATATTAATTGTGTTCTCCCATTATTTCCTCTCATAGACTGAAATAGCCCTTAAGCAGGAAGTCTTATGTAAGACTCACAGATAACAATCCATAACTGTTCAAAAAAGAAAAGCATGCCCTTGTTTTTAAATGGCTAATGTTTTCAAAAATTTCTCTTCCAGAAATTTCCCTGAATCCATTAATCAAAATGATAATAGTATACACATATATTCTTTTTTCTATTTTTTTGCTTTCTGATCTATGTCTGAATTAGTATACAAATTTATTTATTATAGCTTTACTTTTTTTTCTCTTTCCTCTGCCAACAGCCAATGTATACAGTAGCAATAAGTTTTTAGATAAATCTGTGTGACTCTTTCCTCAGGTATAGCCCTGTACTTAAGAGACATTCAGTAATTACTGGTCAAAAAAGGAATCATATTACCCACTTCCACATGGTGGAGTGAAGATCTTCTCCATAAAAATCTGCTCCTCCAAAAAAACAGCGAGAAGATTGGCAAAAATGGTCAAAATCAATATTTTCAGAACTCTGGAAATTCATCAAAGGTTTACGACAATCTAAAAAGTATTTATTTTAAAAAATGACTAAATATTGTTAAAACGGTGAGATTTGTGGCATTTTAACTTGCCATAAATCCATTTTTCTCTCCCCAGCTCCCTAGAAGTCTTGAAAATTAACAACCTTGCTATCATGACAGCCATGAAAACCAGCAGTCTAGCAGTCTCTGAAGATGGCCAGAATGGATTTGGAACTCTCAAAAGCCCAAAGCCCAGAGAACTGTCATTATAGGACTTATCTGGCAGCTTTCTGAAAGCCCTATTTGCAAAGGTTGTCTTTATCTGATCTAAGGGTTCACTGACTGTGAACAGCCTTTTCCCTGGGGCAATTGTTGAGAACAACAAGCAAAATTGTTTAATATCACAGCTGCCTAACGTGATGATAAGAGTTGGGGCAAACAAGAAGCTGGCCAAAGAAGCTGAAAGAAAAAGGTAGGAAATGGGATGTCCATAGGGGGTCTTTAAAAAGATCTGACACAACCTGTTGGGTACAATGTTCACTATTCAGGTGATGGGTACACAAAAGCCCAGACTTCACCATTACACAATACATGCATGTAAGAAATCACACACTTTTACTCCCTAAATCTATAAAAATAAAATAAAATAATTTTTAAAAATTTAAAAAGAAGCTCTGATATATTCCAGAAATCTGGAAGGCCAAGTACATATATGGTGCATTATGCATGATGAGTAGGGAAGACCTGAGGAGGCTGTAATTTCCCACCTCTGGCTAACTTGAATCTCTGCACAAGTAGAGAGTGAAAACTACAGGCAGAGTTGTAAACTGCCTGCCAGAGCATTGAAAGCATGTCCCAATACACATTCTCAGAGTCCCCTGGCAAAGGCTAGAGGACTTCAAGACATTGAAAAAAAATTTTTGTTCAATTATGATCTGTTGACTAAGCTAACCAAATATAGACTTTAGTGGCCACACATGACAAACAATACAGATTTTATAGAATTAGTTCAAGAAAGTCACTAAATAAACAAACAGCAACAGAACAACAACAAACAGCAATAATAACAAACCTGTGTGTGTTGGAGGGGACGTCTGATTTCCAGAGGTGCCACATTACTTTGTTGGAAATGTCCAGTTTTCAACCAAAAATTACAAGGCATGTGAAGAAAGAGGAAAGTAGAGTGAATACACAGGATAAAAAGCAATAAATAGAAAATGCCCCTAAAAAAGCCCAGACATTGGATTTCCTGAGCAAAGGCTTTGCATCTGCTATTATAAAAATATTGAAAGAACTAAGGGAAACTGTGTCTAAAGAACTAAAGGAAAGTATGAAAATAATGCCTCACCAAATACAGCATATCAATGAAGAGAGAGAGATTACAAAAACAAGAAGTTCTGAAGTTGAAAATTACAATAACTGATATTTAAAAATTCACTGGAAAAGCTCAGAAGCAGATTGAGAAGGCAGAAAGAAGAATCAGCAAACTTGAAGATAGGTCATTTGAGATTATCCAGTCTGAGGAACAAAGAGACAGAAGAAAGCAAAAAATGAACAAAGCCTCAGAGACCTGCAGGACATCATTAAGTGTTCCAACATATATAAAATGAGAATCCCAGAAGGGTAGGAAAAAGAGAAAGGGGAAGAAAGAATATTGGAAAAAATGATAGTTAAACACCTCAAATTTAACTAAAACAATTAATACATACATTCAAGAAACACAATGTGCTTCTTTATAAAAGCAAAGATAAGCCAGGTGTGGTGGTTCACACCTATAAAACCAGCACTTTGGAAGACTGATGTGGGAGAGGATTGTTTGAAGGCAGGAGTTTGAGACCAGCCTAGGCAACATAGTGAGACTATCTCTGACAAAAAAAAAAAAAAAAAAAAAAAAAAAAAAAACAGAGAGAAAGAATGAAAGAAAGAAAGAGAAAAAGAAAGATTAAACAAATTTTTTGCGATAGGGTCTCACTCTGTAACCCAGGCTGAGTGCAGTGGTTTGATCATGGCTCACTGCAGCCTCAACCTCCCAGGCTCAAGTGATCCTCCCACCTCAGCCTCCTGAGTAGCTGGAACTGCAGGTGTGTGCCACTATGCCCAGCTAATTTTTGAATTTTTGTAGAGATGGGGTCTCAATATGTTGTCCAGGCTGGTCTTGAACTCCTGGGCTCAAGTGATCTTCCCCACTTGGCTTCCCAAAGTGCTGGAATTACAGGTGTGAGCCACTGCACCCAATCTGCAAAAATAAATTTAAGGAGATTCACACTGAAACACATTATAATCAAGCTGCCAAAAGCCAGAGGCATAGATAATCTGAAAGCAACAAAAGAAAATAAAATCTCATCACATATGAGTTTCCTCAATAAGATTAACAGCCAATTTTTCACCTAAACCATGGAAGCCAGAAAGCAGTGGGATGACATTCGAAGTGTTGAAAGAAAAAGACTGTCAACCAAGAATTTCATATCCAACAAAGCTAACCTTTAAAAATGAAGGACAAATTAAGACATTTCCAGATAAACAAAACTGAAAAGAATTCATCACTAGCAATCTTCCCTACAAGAAATGCTAAAGGGAGTCCTTCAGGCTGAAAGTAGAGAATACTAGATAGCAATTCAAACCAACTTGAAGAAGCAACAACATAGGTAAATTTTAAAGACAATACAAATACAGTTTTATTTGTAATTCTTTTTTGCTCTTATCCAGTTTAAAACATTACTACATAAAGCAATAAAACTGTGTTGACAGGCTTATAATGTGTAAAGATGTAAATTCTGTGACAATAATAGCATAAAGGAGAGGAGACGGAATAAAGCTATATAGGAGCAAAGTTTTGTATATAATTGAAATTAGGCTGGGCACGGTGGCTCACGCCTATAATCCCAGCACTTTGGGAGGCCGAGGCAGGTGGATCACGAGGTCAGGAGATCGAGACCATTGTGGCTAACATGGTGAAACCCCGTCTCTACTAAAAATACAAAAAATTAGCCGGGTATGGTGGCGGGCACCTGTAGTCCCAGCTACTTGGGAGGCTGAGGCAGGAGAATGGTGTGAACCCAGGAGGTGGAGCTTGCAGTGAGCCGAGATCGCGCCACTGCACTCCAGCCTGAGTGACAGAGCAAGACTCCATCTCAAAAAAAGAAAAGAAAGAAATTAATTTGGCATTAATCTGAACTCAGTTTTTTATAAATTAAAATGTTAATTATAACCCCAAGGGCAAGAACTAAGAAATCAACTAAAAAAATAGGTAAATGAACAACAAGGAAACTAAACTTGTTCACTTGAAAATATATACTTAATACAAAAGAAGGGAATAATAGAAGAATAGAGGAAGAAAAGAAGACACAAGACATATGGAAAACAAACAGCAAAATGGCAGATATAAATTTTACCTTATAAGTAGTTATACTGTATGTATATAGATTAAGCACTCTCATCAAAAGGTAGAGATTGGCAGAATGAACACAAAAACATTACTCAACTATTTGCTGTATACAAGAAATACACTTTAGAACAAAGACAGAAATAAATTGAAAGTTTAAAAAAATGGAAAAAGATACACCATGGAAACAGTAAGCAAAAGAGAGCTGAAGTGGCACTCCTAATAACAGACAAAATGGACTTTAAGACAAAATTATTACTAGAGGCAAAAAAAAAAAAACCATTTCATAATGACAGAAGAAGACATAGAAGACAGAACAATGATAAACATATGTGCACCTAAAAAGAGAGGATCAAAATACATGAAGCAAAAACTGACAGAACTGTAGGGACAAATAGACAATTCTACAACAGTTGGAGCAGTTGGAGACTTCAGTAATCCACTTTCAATAACGTGTAGAACAATTAGAAGATCAACAATGGAATAGAAGATTTAAACAATACTATACATCAACTGGATCTAACAGACTTTTATAGAACATTCTACCCAACCACAGTAGAATATACATTCTTCTCAGGTATATATGGAACATTCACCAATTCTTTAGGATAGACCATACATTAGCTGATAAATCACATATATTTTAAAATATAAGATCATACAAAATATGTTCTTTGACCACAATGGAATAAAATTTGAACTCATTAACAGAAGGAAAGTTGAGAAATTCATGAAAAAGTAAAAATTAAACAACACAATTTTAAATAACCAATGGGTCAAAGAAAAATCACAAGGAAAATTAGAAAATACTCTGTGATGAGTGAAAATGAATACATACCAAAACTTATGGGATACAGCTAAAGTAGAGCTTAGAGGAAAGTTTATAAGTGGAAATGCCTATATTAGAAAAGAAGAAAGTGCTTAAATCAATAACCTAATTGTACACGTTAAGAAACTAGAGGCTGGGCCTGAGGCAGGTGGATCATGAGGTCAGGAGTTCAAGACCACCTGGCCAAGATGGTGAAACCCCGTCTCTACTAAAAATACAAAAATCAGCTGGGCGTGGTGGCGGGCACCTGTAATCCCAGCTACTCGGGAGGCTGAGGCAGAGAATTGCTTGAACCCGGGAGGTGGAGGCTGCAGTGAGCCAAGATTGTGGCACTCCACTTCAGCCTGGGTGACAGAACAAGACACTGTCTCAAAAAAAAAAAAAAAAGAAAAGAAAAAAGAAACTAGAGGCTGGGCATGGTGGCTCACGCCTGTAATCCCAGCTCTGCAGGAGGCCAAGACAGGTGGATCGTTTGAGCCCAGGAGTTTGAGAACAGCCTGGGCAACACAGCAAAACCCTGTCTCTGCTGAAAATATAGAAAATTAGTCAGGTGTGGTGATGCATGCTTATAGTCCTAGCTACTTGGGAGGCTGAAGTGGGAGGATCGCTTGAGCTGGGGCAGCAGAGGTCGCAGTAAGACAAGATCATGCCACTGCACTCCAGCCTGGGTGACAGAGTGAGACCCTCTCTCAAAAAATAAATAAATAAATAAATAAAATAAAATAGAGAAAGAAGAGAAAATTAAACCTGAAAAAAGCAGAAGGAAGAAATAACAACTGAGTGGAAATACATGAAATAGAGACTATAAAAACAAAAGAGAAAAATAAAAAAAACTAAAGTTTTTTTTTTTTTTTAAAAAGTCAACAAAGATTTAACAAGACTGAACAAGAACAAAAGGTCTAAAACTCATATTACTAAAATCAGAAATGATAGTGGGGACATTATTATCAACCTTACATAAATAAAAATAATTATAAGGAAATGCTGTGAACAATTACATGCCAATTATAGGTCTAGATAACCTACATAAAATAGATAGGTCTGTCCCAACTTCCCAACTCATTCTATGAAGTTAGCATTACTCTGGTGTCAACAAAGACATCACAAGAGAAGAAAACTATGGGCCAATATGTTTTTTGAATGTAGATACAAAAATACTCAGCAAAATATTAGTGAACTGAATCCAGAATCATATGAAAGGAATTATATACCATAATCAAGTGGGCTTTATCTCAGGAATGCAAGGGAAGTTTCACATATGAAACCCAATCAATTTAAAACACCATTAATATAATGAAGGGGTGAAACCTACACAATCATATCAATAGATGCAGAAAAAGCATTGACAAAATTCAACACCTTTAATGATAAAAACACAACAAACTAGGAATAGAGGGAACTTCCTCATCCTGATAAAGCATATCTAGGAAAAAGCAACAGCTAACATACTTAATGGTGATAACTAAACACTTTCTCCTAAGATCAGGAACAAGACAAGGAGTTTTCCTCTTGCCACTTCTATTTAATATTGTACTAGACATCTACCCAGGGAAATTAGGCAAGAAAAATATATTAAAGGCGTCCAGATTGGAAAGGAAAAAGTAAACGTTTCTCTATTTACAGATGACATAATTTTACATATAGATAACCCTAAGAAATCCACAAAAGAACTATTAGAGCTAATAAATGAAATCAACAAGTTTACAGGATACAAAAATGAATATACAACATCAATTGTATTTCTATAAACTACCAATGAAAAACAAAAAATGAAATTAAGAAAACAACTTCATTTACAACAGCATCAAAAGAGCTACAAGATTTATACACTGAAGACTATAAAACATTGTGTAAGTAAATGAAAGAAGACCTAAATTAATGGAAAAACATCTTGTATTCATAGATCAGAGGACTTACTATTGTTAAGATGGCAATACTTCCCAAATTGATCTAGAGATTTCACATATTTCCTGTCACAATCCCAACTGCCTTTTTTTTTTTGCAGAAAATGACAAGCTGGTCCTAAAATTCATGTGGAAATACAAGGCACACAGAACAACCAAAATAATCTTAATACATGAACAAAATTGGAGGACTTGAACTTCACATTTTCAAAACTTACTACAAAGCTATAGTACTCAAGGCAGTGTGGAACTGGTAGAAGGATAAACATACTGCCTATGCACACGCAAAAGAATAAATTTGGAACCCTATCTCACACCATATACAAAACCTAACTCAAAATGAATGAAAGGCCGAATTGTAAAAGTTAAAACTGAGAAGTGAAGCCAGCTGGACCTCCTGGGTGGAGTCGGGACTTGGAGAACTTTTCTTTCTTACAAGAGGATTCTAAAATGCACCAATCAGCACTCTGTAGCTAGGATTGTAAAACGCACCAATCAGCACTCTGTAGCTAGCAAGGGGATTGTAAAATGCACCAATCAGCACTCTGTAAAATGCACCAATCAACGCTCTGTAAAATGCACCAATCAATGCTCTGTAAAATGCACCAATCAGCAGGATCCTAATAGTAGCCTATCACAGGGAGGATTGAAAAAAGGGAACTCTGTTAGGACAAAAACAACATGGGTGGGGACAAATAAGGAAATAAAAGCTGGCCACCCCAGCCAGCAGTAGCAACCTGCTTAGGTTGCCTTCCACGCTGTGGAAGCTTTGTTCTTTTGCTCTTCCCAATAAATCTTGCTGCTGCTCACCCTTTGGGTCCGTGCCTCCTTTAAGAGCTGCAACACTCACCAGGAAGGCCTGCAGCTTCATTCTTGAAGTCAGTGAGACCAGGAACCCAGCTGCAGGAACCAACTCTGGACACAAAACTACTAGAAGGGGCCAGGTGTGGTGGCTCATGCCTGTAATACCAGCACTTTGGGAGGCCAAGGCAGGTGGATCATTTGAGGTCAGGAGTTTGAGAGCAGCCTGGCCAACATGGTGAAACCCAGTCTCTACTAAAAATACAAAAAAATTATCCTGGTATGTTGGCAGATGACTGTAATCCCAGCTACTCGGGAGGCTGAGGCAGGAGAATCTCTTAAACCTAATAGGCGGAGGTTGCAGTGAGCTGAGATTGTGCCACTGCACTCCAGTCTGGGTGATACAGCGAGACTCCCTCTAAAAAAAAAAAAAAAAAAGTCCTAGAAGGAAACCTAGGCATAAATATTTGTGGTCTTGGATTAAGCAATGGTTTCTAGATATGACATCCAAAGCACAAGCAACACAAAACAACATTTAAAAATTCGATTTCCTCAAAATAAAAAAAAAAGTTTGTGCTTCAAAGGACACTGTCAAGAAAGTGAAAAGGCAACTCACAGCATAGGAGAAAATATCTGCACATCATATACTTGATTAAGGACTTATGTCCGGAATGTATAAAGAACACTTACATCCCATAAAACAAAGACAACCCAATTTTTAAATGGGCAAAGGACTTGAATAGACATTTCTCCAAAGAATATATACAAATGGCCAATAAGCACATGAAAAGATGTTTAACAACATTAGTCATTAGCAAAATACAAATCAAAACCACAGTGAGATACCACTTGACACCCACTAGGTTGGCATTGATTAAAAAGACAAATAATAATGATTGTTGACAAAAATGTGGAGAAATTGGAACCCTCATACATTATTGGTGGGAATATAAAATGGTGCAGACGCTTTGGAAAACAGTTCAGCAGTTCCTCAAATAGTTAAAAATAGAGTTACTACATGACCCAGCAATTTCACTCTTGGATATTTATTCAGAAGAATTGAAAACAATGTCCATATAACAACTTGTATATGAAGATTCATGGGAGCATTATTCATAATAGCCCCAAAATGGAAACAATCTAATGTCCATCATCTGATGATTGGATAAATAAATGTGATATCCATGCAATGGAATATTATTATGCCATTAAAAGGAGTAAAATACAGATACATGTTACAACATAAAAGAACCTTGAAAACGTTTTGCTTAGTGAAAGAAGTCAGACACAAAATGCCACATATTTTAAGATTCCATTTATATGTAATGTCTAGAATAGACAAATCCATAGAGACTGAAAGTAGGTTAGTGGTTGCCAAGGGCTGAGGGGAGAGTAGAGTGAGGAGTTACCACCAATGTGTAGGAAATCTTTCAGCAGTGATGCAAATGCTCTGAAATTAGATAGTGGTGATGCTTGCACACAACTTTGTGAGTATACCAAAAATCAAACTAAACTATAAAAAAAAAAAGCCTCACCAACATTTTAAAACTTTGGAGGTAGCTAATAAAAATATCTAATATTTTATGGCACTTATGTGCCAGGCTGTGTTCAAAATCAATCAGATTTTAACCCATTTACACCTCACTACAAGTTTATGACATACTGTAGTTCTACTGAAACTGAGCCAATAGTCCCATAGACTGTTCTCTTGGATAAACAAAGAAATTGGCCTTTCTCGTTTTACAACTTGAAACTTACATTTATTTTATCTAAGTTCCTTTCTCAGGAAAGGACCTTCAGACCTCTCAAAAAAAATAATAAAAATAAAACTATCAAAAAGCTGAAATTCACAGGCCAGGTGTGGTGGCTCATGCCTGTAATCCCAGCACTTTGGGAGGCCGAGGTGGGTGGATCATGAGGTCAGGAAATAGAGACCATCCTGGCTAACACAGTGAAACCCCAACTCTACTAAAAAGAAAAAAAAAAAAAAAACCTTGAAATTCACCATATCACTGCATCAGATGCGAGACCCCTCATTCATCATGATTGCCTTCTCGTCCCTCCCTAGTTTCTGTTTTCTTCCACATTGTTACATTTCTTCCTTGCTGTGTAAATCCCTGGTTTTACTCTATCAGACAGATGGATTTGAGACTGATCTCCCATCTCCTCAGCTGCAGCGTCCTATTAAAGCCTCCTCCCTTCTCAATACTTGTCGTCTCAGTGACTGGCTTTCTGTTCAGCAAGCAGCAAGACCTAGACCAAACCCTGGTGTTTTGGTAATACTATTACTATACCTATTTTTCAGAGGAGGAAACCTGAACTCAGAGAGGTTGAGCAACTTGCATAAGGTTACAAAAGTAAGGGACAGAGTTGGGATTCACATCCAAGTGTTCTGATACAAAAGTCCATCGAACCAATACATTATTTAGTTTGTCACTGTGACTGTGTAGCAAAGGCCAAAAGAATGATAAACGGAAAAAAAAGTATATATATATATATATATATTTTTAATTATTATTATTTTTTAAACAGGTTCTTGCTCTGTCACCCAAGCTAGCGTGCAGTGGCACGATCATGGCTCACTGCAGTCTCAACCTCAGAAACTCAAGCTATCCTCCTACCTCAGCCTCCCAAGTAGCTGGAATCCCAGGCCCACACCACCAAGCCCAGCTAATTTTTTATATTTTTAGTAGAGACAGAGTTTCGCCATATTGGCCAGGCTGGTCTTGAACTCCTGGGCTCAAGCGATCTGCCCACTTCAGCCTCTCAAACTGCTGGAATTACTGGTGTGAGACCCTGCATCCAGACAGCAAATAATTTAAAAGATAATTCATTTTCAAATGAATTATTGTGCCTTCTGGAGGATATTGGAAAATCTTATCTTTAAAAACAGGAGAGTAAAACAATTTATAATTAATTTTCCTGGGTTAAAAAAGGTATTTGCTGGCATTTACATTTCAGCATGCAAATCCCAAAGCTTCCATATTAATTCTTTTTGAAAGGTGGATTTTATTAAATCTCTGCATTTCTATCTGCAGTGCTCAATCACATTAGAAATATTCATTTTATTTTGAAGTAGAAGCTGGACGAAACAGGATGGGGCACTTGGCTCTGATAATTCACCGGGGCTGAGTTCCTTTGAATGCTGCCAACTCAAGCAGACTCAGCGAGAATGGCTGCAAACAGTAGGATTCAGTTCATACTGGCAAGTTTGGCCGGGCTCCACTTTGTCACTGCACAGAGGGGAGCACTTCAGAGCAAGTGAAGACTATTTTCTGCCACGCCAAGATTAATCTGCTATGTGCTCACTCATGTTAAATTTCTAGAATTTTGAAGAGAAGGCTGTTTCTTGTCCCAAAGACGGCTGTTTAGTAGGAAATGTCTAGTTCCAATGTAGTTATTGAATATCTTGAGAATAGGAAAATCTTCATGTAAAGTCATAACTGAGGGACCACATGGTTCAGGGCAGTGACTATGTGCTGGAGACAGCAATAACTCTGCTTGTTTCCACTCTTGCCCACTATAATCCATTTCCATACAGTGGCCGGAATGAGCATAAGGCTAGAAAAAACCTAAAATCATAATATTTCACTTTTCTAATTGCTTTCCATTGCACTTGACACCCAAAGTCCTTACAGTGGGCTATAAAGGCCTACAAAATCTGACCCCTGGCTATATATCTGACCCTGATCTCCTACTTCTAGTTTTTTTAAACAACAAATTGCAAAGAAAGAAAGAGTTGGAGAGAGAGCTATAGGTTTAAAGAAACTTAAGAGATCTTTGTAGATCTCTTTTTCCCGCATGCTATGTGTGGGTCCTGTTGGCTTCTTAATTGAACAAAACAACTATAAAAATATAAAGCAATTAGAGTAACTTGAATATGGATTGTATATTGGTATTAATTATTATTAATTTTTAGGTGTAATAATGGTAAGGTAATTAGCATATTTTAGACAGTCCTTATCTTTTAGAGATTTTTGCCAAAATACTAAAATGCAGATGAAAGAATACGATATTTGGGATTTGCTTCAAAATACTCTAGTGGGTAGAGGAAGAAGTGGGGAGGTATAAATGAAACAGGATTGGCTATGAGAAGATAGTTATTGAAGATGGAAGGTAAGCTTATTATACTATTTATACTGGGAGTTTATTATACTGTTCTCTCTACCTCCCCTTGAGTCTTTGACAGGACTTTGCCGAAATAAGAAATCATTTGGGTAATTGCCTCTGGAAGAACTCACTAAGAGAACAAAGTCAGTTTGCACAATGGGGAAGAATCTTTGAATTTAAGCTTTATTGTTAATCCATTTACACATTGATTTAATTTTTTTTTTTTTTTTTGAGATGGGGTCTCCCTCTGCTATCCAGGCTGGAGTGAAGTGGCACAATCTCGGCTCACTGCAACCTCTGCCTTCTGGGTTCAAGCAATTTTCCTGCCTCAGCCTCCTGAGTAGCTGAGATTACAGGCATGCGTCACCAAGCCCAGCTAATTTTTTTGTATTTTCAGTAGAGATGGGGTTTCACCATGTTGGCCAGGCTGGTCTCAAACTCCTGACCTCAAGTGATCTGCCTGCCTCGACCTCCCTCCCAAAGTGCTGGGATTATAGGAGTGAGCCACCATGCCCGGCCCCACTGGTTTAATTTTTGATTTAGCAATCCTGTTTCCATTCCAGTTGGATATTTTAACATTTCTATAAGCATCTAAAACAACTGCCTTTTTTCTTTTCTTTTCTCTTCTTTTCTTTTTGAGACGGAGTCTTGCTGAAGTGCAGTGGTGCAATCTTGGCTCACTGCAGCCTCCACCTCCTGGGTTCAAGCAATTATCTGCCTCAGCCTCCCAAGTAGCTGGGACTACAGGTGCCCTCCACCATGCCCAGCTAATATTTGTATTTTTAGTAGAGACAGGGTTTCACCATCTTGACTGGGCTGGTCTTGAACTCCTGACCTCATGATCCACCCACCTCGGCCTCCCAAAGTGCTAGGATTACAGGCGTGAGCCATGACGCCCGGCCAACTACTGTCCTTTTTCTATTGAAAGAAGAGGGAAGTAAGGCTATAACTTGTCTTATATTCCCATTTGTATCACCAGTGCTTAGCATGTAATAAATGAACAAAAAGTATTTACTGAATTAATAAATGACCAACTAAAATCCTTATTACCTTCTCCTTTATTCATTTCAAAGATATTTATAAACATCCTACCACATGCTAACAAAGACCTTGTCACATTACCACCTAGGGGAAGTGTTCGAGCCAGAGGGAAATGTATATTTATATTTATTTATTTATTTATTTGAGAAAGAGTCTCTCACTCTGTCACCCACGCTGGAGTGCAGTGGCGCCATTTGGGCTCACTGTAACCTCCACCTCCCGGGTTCAAGTGAGTCCCCCGCCTCAGCCTCCCAAGTAGCTGGGTTTACAGGCTCATGCAACCATGCCTGGCTAAATTTTGCATTTTTAATAGAGATGGGGTTTCACTATGTTCGTTGGCCAGGCTGGTCTTGAACTCCTGACCTCAGGTGATCCACCCACCTCGGCCTCTGAAAGTGCTGGGATTATAGGCGTGAGCCACCACACCCGACCTATTTACTTATTTATAGAGACAGGGTCTTGCTCTGTCACTCAGACTGGAGTGCAGTGGCACAATCACAACTCACTGCAACCTGGGTCTCCTGGACTCAGAGGATCCTCCTGCCTCAGCCTCCCAAGTAGCTGGGACTACAGGTGCATGCCACCATGGCCAGCTAATTTTTTTAAATTTTTTTATAGACAGGGTCTCACTATGTTGCCTAGGCTGATCTCAAACTCCTGAGTTTAAGTGATCCTCCTAACATGGCCTCCCAGAGTGCTGGGATTAAACACGTGACCCACCATGCCTGGCAAAATATACTTTTAAAGGCCCAGTGTGAAGAAACTTGCTGTGTTCAGAAACAAAAAAAGGCATTTGTGGCTGAAATTTAGTGTGAAAGCTGATCAAAAGAATTGTGTAATTCTTGTCATACCCAACTTAATCAGAGTCCAGAGGGAGAAAGCACTCAAGGCACAGACCGACAGTTCTAAAAACTGAATTTTCTGCAAGCCCAGCCTGCTGTAACCCCAAGACCAATTTTACCTAGTAACTGCTGAAGCAACCTGCCTTGACTCTAAGACTGGTTTTACCTACCACTGTTACTCCCCATCCAGGGCTTGCCAGCTCCCAAAAGTTTCTGTAGTGCTAATGAGGTTTCTTTCAAAACAATACATATCATTTCTCTTTCTAATAAAATTCCCAACCTTCTCTTGCTTCTTCCAACGTACCAAAGACAACACCAGCCTGAGTTTATGCCCGGAATGGCAATTCTGTGATTTCCAAATAAAGCATTTAATAGAGAGATCTATCTCTATATTTTATTTGACTTTGACAATGACAGAGTGGGGGAGAAGTTGGAAAGGGGATCAGACATATGTATCCAGGGGCCAGATCCTATTGGGCTTTATAGGCCATTGTAAAGGATTTTGTTTTAAGTGCAGTAGAAAGCCATTAGGAAAGCAAAAATATAATCTTTTTTTCTAGCCTAATTTTCATTCTCTATGTGATGTAGATGGATTGT